>NC_000001.11:245881091-246032606 GCF_000001405.40 Homo sapiens
ATACAGATCTCCAACAGGATAATGGGGATATTCATGCTTTTGACCAGATTAGAAAACTCACATATCTAAGTATACCACCAAACCAACACTGTGTTACTCAAGTCTGGTTTCATCAACTCTGGAATGTGTGCATTCTTGGAGGAGGAAAGAACACCAGGGGCATGAACTGCAAGCAGAAAGGAATCTGTCATGATGATAACTGGAAATATATATCCTGTCTTTCCAACGGGTGGTTTACATGTGAGTTTGTAGGTCTTGGTATGGGGAAGTAAGGTAGGCCATACTCAGTATTACAAAGTGTTGGAGGAAGAGAGGGCAAGAATATCCCTTCCTGATAGCCCATTGTTTAAACTACCATGAAATTGTTTTATGAGTAAAAGTCATTTTGAAGCATCAGGTAATAGAGATTTTTGGCATGTCCTATAGAGCTTAACTCCATGCTAGGCAAATAACAGTATTTATTCACATATTCACTTGCGCAACACAAATTTATTAGGCACTGTATTGGGCACTGAGGACAAAATACAGAACAAGACTGATAGGGTCATTAGTACTTTCCTAACAAGTAAGCAAATACACAGCAAATATAAAAATGATACGTAACGTTTGCTAGTGCAATCATGGAAATAAAGGCATTGCAGAAAATAATGAGGAGAGCAGCACCTGATTTTCATAGGGTAGTCAAGGATCTCTCCCCAAGGAGGTAAGGTTGAAGCCACGAGCTGAAGAATGATGATGAGCTAGGCAAGCACAAAGCTACAGGAAGATGATTTTGGACAGAGGGAAGCCAAGTGCAAAGGCCCCAGGACAAGAAAGAGCTCGGCATATTCCAGCCGTGAGCCTGAGCCGAGACTGGTAGGGTGAACAGGAGCCAGGCCGCACAGGGGCCTGCTGGTCTTGTTGGGGAAGCTGGATCTCCCCTCCAAGAAAGTGGGAAGTTGCTCAAGAGCTACCTTCTGAAAACATTCTCTGGCTTTTGCGAGAAAACTAAATTCCAAGACAACAGGGTGGAAACAGGCAGACCGCTTAGGGAGGCTCTTGCAGTAGTGTAAACAACAGAGAAGGGTGCTGAAGAAACACTCACAGGATTATACATGTTGCTGGAAGGGGAGAGAGGCAAGAAGTGACAACTGACCTCTGTCAATCGTGAGGTCTTGACTTAACCTCATTCTGGCACGCTGCTTGGGAAACACTAGCTAGGTTTATTAACCCAACTGTGGTTGCCACCAACAGCAGCTGCTAAACCTTCTTCTGGTTTTCAACAAAAATCCCCCATATATCTTATGTATTCGCAGCTCCCTAAGTCATCAAACCTTCATCTCATCTGAAAAGAGAGCCTATCTGTGGCTTGAATCACTACAATGAGCCAAAAATCAATTTATAATTTTGGGTAATAGTTCTAAATCTATTTTCAATCATGTGGGGGTGAGGGGTGTTGAGAGGAAAAAGTGAATGAAGTTTGAGAAACTAGCAATGAAGTCTCTCAGTCAACAATTTAATGACTACAAAATAAATAAATAAATGCACTAGTGTACCCTTGGGTCCCAGTTCTTATTCAGTTACACATCTGTTCTGCAATAGAATGAGGGAGTTAATTACTTTTCTATGACATGTATGTATTTTGTGAGACACCACATTGCACCAGTTAATAATGATCTACCTTCTGTTGACACAAAACGTTTAAATTAATAAAAAAATCTAAATGATATATCACATAGCAAAGCATACTTCACTGAAAGGCTGGATGGCAGGAGTAGTAATTTTCCTGGGTAGAAATAATTGAGATGAGCTTATGGTAGCATGAAAAGCTCAATCAATAAAGAGACTTATATGGGCAAACTGTTTTCAAGAGTACACTCTTTTTAGAAAGGGTAGGCTGTGCTTCGCTAATAGCTAATGTAGCAGCACTGTGATTGTTAGAGAAAGAAACTGAGACTGATACCCAGTAATTGCCCATAATTGACAATATTAGCAATTTTCCATTTGAATCTGTCTGTTCAATCTTTAGGGTCAGAAAAGACAAATGTGAAAAGGGTAAAAACAATCCCTTGAAGCTCTATTAATACTAAAAAAAATCTTTGTGCTCTTCACTGAGTGTACCCTTGTAACTAGATACTAAACCAACTGCATTATGGAAACAGCCTATTTTTTCCAAACTGTATAAGCAATATTAAATGACCTTGGAAAAATCGAGATAATATGTAAAGTAGACTCCCAGCACAAAGACGGAAGACATACTCTAAATAAACTTGACAAGAGTGCCTTGTTCAAGTCTCAAAACCACCCAAGGAAAAGTCTGAAACCCACAACATCCCGTAATTATTTTGCTATTTTCCACTTATTTTGGGTTAAAAAACAAAAGTCTACCACTTTTCTTTCATTTTTAAATTCATTCTCACTTCTTTCTTAAAAACTAGGGGAAAAAAACCCCAAAACATCAGGACTGGAGTCAAGAAGTTTATTTCCTGTATAATAATTTCTTTCTTTTGGGGTCCCAACGCTAAAAGACTATTACTTCTTTCTGACCATTCAAGCCCCTGCTCTTCACTGTCCTTCATGGTTTAAAGCAGCCTTTACCCATGCTGGCCCACAGAGTATCATGAAAGGTCCATGGACCTGACACTGTAAGAATTTAGGTACAAATCTAGCGAGATGAATCCTTTTCTAATTCTTGCCTATTTTTGGCTTTTCAGGGAGCTTCATATACTAGGAACTTCTTCTAGGCTATTGAGTACATAGTAGGTATTTAGTAAATGCTGGTTGTCGTGGGAAGCAACAGATAAAGGTGAAAATGGCCAAAACCCAGAGTGGGTGATGTAAAAAAGAAAAATTGTCCAATTTTATAAAGTTTCATGATTTTTTTTCCTTTAGCGGTAGGATGTCTAATATTTCTATTTAATCTCAAATATTAAATTTATACAGGGATATCCAGGTCAGAGGATTCCAGAACTTGAGGATTAGGAAGCTTTTTAGCAATGCAGAGATCAGACAGATGAAAAAGACTGTTCTTAGAAGACCTGTACAAAACAAATGCCACCATATCTTCTTAAAAAAGCCCAAAAGGTCAGTACATCGAATCCAAATACCTATAGCTGAAGTCTATTTCTCCCAATCTTAGTGAGGACTGAAAACTATAGGTCTCCCTGACCATGATGCAGCATGGTTGTCTGGGGTAAATACCCGAGGTTCATTGTCTCATGCCAGGGTAATCGAGGATGCAGACACACAAAGTGATTTTGAGAACGGAGGTTTAATGGGCAAAAGAAAGAGAAAAGAGAATAAGCTCTCTCTTCTGCAGGGACAGAGAGGAACCGGAGTGGTCCTTCCGGTTTTGTGGTGAAATGCATGGGGGTTTTTATAGACAAGCTTGAGGAGGCAGTGTCTGATTTACATAGGGCCTGAGAGATTGGGTGGACCAGGTGTGATGTTTGCATAGCACCTGAAGAAGCTGGCCATCCCACCCTAATCTTTTATTATGCAGGTATCTATCTGGGAGGTAGCCATGTTGTCTGTTCCTTACTGTACACGTGATTGACAAAAGGGAAGATGGTGCCACTGAGAGGTAAAGCCAGCAGGACTTTCTGGGTTGAGTGGGGACTTGGAGAACTTTTCTGTCTAGCTAGAGGATTGTAAATGCACCAATCAGCACTCTGTAAAAACGCACCAATCAGCGCTCTGTGTCTAGCTAAAGGATTGTAAACGGACCAATCAGCACTCTGTAAAATGGCCCAATCAGCTCTCTGTAAAATGGCCCAATCAGCAGGATGTGGGCAGGGCCAAATAAGGGAATAAAAGCTAGCCACCTGAGCCAACAGCGGCAACCCACTCGGGTCCCCTTCCACGCTGTGGAAGCTTTGTTCTTTTGCTCTTCACAATAAATCTTGCTGCTGCTCACTCTTTGGGTCTGCACTACCTTTATGAGCTGTAACACTCAATGCGAAGGTCTGCGGCTTCACTCCTGAAGTCAGCGAGACCACACACCCACTGGGAAGAACAAACAACTCTGTACACGCCACCTTTAAGAGCTGTAACATTCACTGTGAAGGTCTGCGGCTTCACTCCTGAAGTCAGCAAGACCATGAACCCACCGGAAGGAAGAAACTCTGGACACATCTGAACATCTGAAGGAATAAACTCCAGACACACCATCTTTAAGAACTGTAACACTCACCATGAGGGTCTGCAGCTTCATTCTTGAAGTCAGTGAGACCAAGAACCCACCGGAAGGAACCAATTCCGGACACACCACCATGTTGAACATGCCTGGCCCCCAGGTAGCCTTTTCTTATTGGCACAGCTGCCAGCATTCACCCCTGCAAGCTTCCAGCTTGCTTGTCTATGTCTGTGACTCGATTTTACAGGCTGTTCTTTGTTAGAAAAGATGTGATTTGGGGACTGCTTTTCATTAAAGGGAAAACCTTACCGAGGACTTCCTTACCCTCACTATCTGCCCAACTAATTTCTTTTTAACTCCTATATCAACCAGATAAGGCCCCTCCTTTCTCCTGCAGGCTGAAGAGTTTGTATGCCCTTAGTCTTTCTTTAAAGTCTTACTTTTCTACAGTGTTTCTCTATTAGAGGTTCTCTCTGTCCCTTTTTAAGTTATGGGGCCACTATATAGTTATGGGGCAGCTGCATAAAAACGTTCATGGTCTTTTCTTGAGCTAAAAGACAATTACATAAAATTAAGGAGGTTAGTATCCACAATTTTTACAATGATTTTAACTGACCTTATTCATAACATGAAGTAGTTGTAAAAAGTAGATATTCATTTAATATGATGTCAAACTAAGGTAATTTTCCTCATCCTCTGAGGCTGCTTGTTACTCCCATTGGAGTACTCACCCATGTTGAACGCAACCTAATTGTTCAGAAATAATTAACATGTTTTTATTTCAGTTGTAGAAAACATAATTTATTAATTGGCTGCTACTTTATGTGTTCCATTTTAAAAGGCACAATAAATAAGAAATTAGCATAAGAAGGTATTGAAAAAATGCCAAGATTGACTAAATTCTGAGAAAAGCAAGATAATTCCAAATTAAGGATGAGTAAATTTATTACATAAAGGAGTTTAATGACAAATGTGGAGACAACTGTTTTATGGGCCTTTAGCTACAGCTTTCCAATTTTAATGTTATAGACAGGAAAACATTATCAACGCTTTCATAATTCCAGGATTCTAATTTACATATCAAAACAAGAGAAAGAGAAAGCCCACATCTCTCCTTACTTATTAGAGTTCTCGGGGTCTGAAAACGGCTTGTCAACAAAGGTTGAAAGAAGAGGAAGCAGAAGATATGCTGATGGCTGCAACTGAAGCAATACAATATCCTAATTACTGGGAAGTACAGCTAGTTTAGAGACCATCACACCCTCACCTCAGCAATTAATACCCAGTACAATTGGTAAATGTTCTAATCTTTAATAGAAGCACCCAGAAACAGCCTGTAAGCAGATGAGTATTTGAAACAAACCGTTTGCCATATCCCCGGGTATTAATCGAACCCAAAAGCATCTCATTCTTTGTGGGGGAGGAAGAAAGCTGCCATCATAGATATGCATAAGCAGCTCTCTACAAGCTCTTCTTCTGGGTGTAATGATGTGAAAACCATGCTAATTTCCTTGCCCGATATTTGAATTTTTTATTCTTCATGCAATCATTTCTGACTTCTTGGTTCTACACACACTCACGTTTTTCTGGCTATTGCGGGTCGAAAGGCCAACCTCACTGTTCTAACAATGACTTCCCATCCCTCCATGATGAAAATGCAAACCCTCTGCCCAGCATAGGCCATCCCTCACCACCCACTGCTGGCCTTACCAGCCTTTATCCTCCAGCAATACTAAACCATTAGCTGTTCCCTGATGCGCCATATTCTCTCAAGCCTCTGGGACATTTCACAGGGTGTGTCCCTGTCAGAAGCATGTGAACCAGAGCAACTCCATCTTGAATAGGGGCCTGGTAAAATGAGGCTAAGACCTACTGGGTGGCATTCCCAGATGGTTAAGGCATTCTAAGTCACAGGATGAGATAGGAAGTTACCACAAGTAACAGGTCATAAAGACCTTGCTGATAAAACAGGTTGCAGTAAAGGAGCTGGCCAAATCCTACCAAAACCGAGATGGCCATGAGAGTGACCTCTAGTCATCCTCACTGCTATACTCCCACCAGCACCATGACAGTTTACAAATGCCATGGCAACGTCAGGAAGTTACCCTATATGGTCTAAAAAGGGGAGGCATGAATAATCCACCCCTCGTTTAGCATATCATCAAGAAATAACCATAAAAATGGGTAACCCGCAGCCCTTGGGGCTGCTGTGTGTGGAGGAGTCATTCTTTATTCCTCCACCTTCTTAATAAACTTGCTTTCACTTTTTGGACTCGCCCTGAATTCTTTCTTGTGTGAGATCCAAGAACCTTCTCTTGGGGTCTGGATTGGGACCCCTTTTCCAGTAACATCCCCAGACTGAATCTCTTTGAAACCATCTCAATGAAAATTCCTATACAACCTGTACATCTCAGGTCAATGTCTCCTGTGAAGTCTTTCTAGACTGACCAGGGATTTTTTTTCTCTTTCATTGCCACTATACTTCAAACAGGCTTCCAGTAAAATCACTGCCACACCAAATTAAACTGTGTCTGGGTATCTATCTCCACATTAGAATGGAAGCCACCTACAGGAAGGGGACATCTTTCAATCTCAGGATTCCCATGGTTGGCCTATGATATATGTCTCACATCATGAAATACTTGAGGAAGAAAGAAAGGGACAAAAGGAGAGAAACAGGGAGGGAGGGAGAGATTCAAGCAGGTTTGCTGAAAGACTGGAGATGAAAATGGTAATTATGGGTGAGTAATAAGCAAAAAAAAGGAGACTTAAGTCTATTTAAGCCCTAAGCAATATAAGACGCCTTATTTCCAGAGAGTTAATGTTCAAGCTATAAACAGAAAAGACTTATTCCTAATTCTAGTCCTTGTTGGGGTGAGTCAGGGCTCCCTGGACTCTCCACAGCAGCTAATGCTTCAGTCTCTTCTTACATGATAGACCTGTCATGGAGTCTCACCCAAGTGGGTTGTAAAAGCACTGGCCAATGTCAGTCTAGGGTCTTAAATGGACACTTAAATATACTAAATTATTCAGTAGTAAAGCCAACCCAAAATATCTATTTTTCCTGTTTATATTTCTAGAATTCTACCATCTAAAGGGCTTGAGAAATTGGACAAAGATAGTATGTTAAGTATTTGAAAATGAATACATAAATGGAAGTGATCTCTCAAGAAAAATAATGTAAATAAATAAATAGGCCTAAAAGTTCCCTCTTGATGTTATTTTACCTTTATTTACCTTTTAACCTTGCTTCCACAACCAAGGGCAGTACCCACAGTGCTTTATCAAAAGAGCACTGCCCCAGAATTATGATACTTGTATTTTCTGGGCCGGATTGTCCAGCGTCACTCTATTTGTGAGTGACACAAGTCATTTCTCCTCTCTGCAAAATGCTGATATTGACCTAGATGCCTAATGTTTCTTCTAGCTATTCAAATTTAACTGACTTTCTGACAAACCACTTAGCTTGTGTGATATTCGATGGATCTAAGTACAAAGTATGCTCTCTCACGTCTACCTTTTAAGCTCTGAAGGTATGCAATCAATAACATGCAGAAAGAGCCCAATCTGAGTGTCATTTCAGCAGGTTTTAAAGACAGAGTGAAGAAATGCATGTGTTCTACATCAACCATGTCTACCTGAAGCCCAACAGCAACTTCTCAGAGCAGGGAAAGAGAAAGTGGAACCACATTTGGTCACCTACCATCCCTAATACACGGAGCTGCATTACATACTCCCTGTAGCTTACCAATGCCACCAATTCCCCAGCTTCATTCTTCCAAGGATGCAATGTCACTAGAGGGCGCAGTTAATGACTATATAAATAGTGAGCCCCAAGATAGTTATTGTGAAATTTAACCTCTTTCCATATCCCAACAGTGAGCTGTTAGTGGAACTTTGTGTGGCAGAGACCTATAGAACTCCAAAGTTAGGTAAGGTCAAACATGTCATGTTTTAAAGGCTTTGAGCATGTACTATGGACCAAAAGCATAAGCCTTCAAGTTCACTGTTGAGCCCGATTAACAGATAAGGGGAAAATGTACTTTTTGAGAAAAATAAATAGGTTATTTTTGCATGGCACCATGTTCTCTTAATTTCTATAGAGAGTGAGATAACAGAAGTGACTAGAATACCTTTTTCTCCTTCTAGGACATCCTTCCCATTGACACTGGAGGGGCCAACTACATGTTTTAATCAGAGCCCACAGCTGCCCACACCCACTGCAGAGTGAGCTACTCTCCACCAACCCTGCAGCCCTGAAGTTTCTGTGACCACTGAAGAGGTCTGTTTTCAGACTTAGGGTCAAAGTGTGGGTGACCTCCAACACCTACTGTAATGAAGGAATAAATGTCAATAGAAGCCTTGTCTGGTCTCTGTCCCAAGGCATTTTATTATTTGTTTCATTGTGAGATTCCAAATGTGGTCTTACTCAGAAAAGAACAATAATTCTTACATGGCAAATTCTGAAAGAGGCATCAATGCAATCCCTCTCAAAATACCAATGACATTCTTCACAGAAACAGAAAAACTAATCCCCAAATTTATATGGAACCACAAAAGGTCCAGAATAGCCAAAGCCATTCTGAGCAAAAAGAACAAAACTGAAGGAATCACATTACCTGACTTCAAATTATACTACAGAGCTATAGTAACCAAAACAGCATGGTACTGGCATAAAAACAGACACACAGACCAATGGAAAGAAATAGAGAATCCAGAATTAAATCCATACATCTGCAGTGAACTCATTTTTGACAAAGGTGCCAAGAACATACACTGGGGGAAGGATAGTCTTCAATAAATGGTGCCGGGAAAACTGGATGTGCAGAAGAATGAAACTAGATTTCTATCTCTCACTATATAAAACAATTAACCAAGATGGATTAACGACTTAAATTTAAGACCCTCAAACTACGAAACTACTAAAAGAAAACACTGGGGAAACTCTCCAGGACATTGGTGTGGGCAAAGATTTCTTGAGTAACATCCCAAAAGCACAGGCAACCAAAACAAAAATGGACAAATGGGATCACATCAAGTTAAAAGCTTCTACACAGCAAAGAAAACAATGAACAAAGTAAAGAGACAACCCACAGAATGGGTGAAAATATCTGCAAACTACCCATCTGACAAGGAATCAATAACTAGGATATATATAAGGACTTCAAACAACTGAATAAGGAAAAAAATCTAACAATCTAACAATCTGGGCAAAAGATCTAAATAAACATTTCTCAAAAGACGACATACAAATGGTGAACAGGTATAAGAACATCCCGCATCATCAAAGAAATGCAAATCAAAACTACAATGAGATATCATCTCACCACAGTTAAAATGGCTTTGATCCAAAAGATAGGGAGTAACATATGCTGACAAAGATGTGGAAAAAAAGGGAACCCTCGCACACTATTGTTGGGAATGTAAATTAGTACATCTACTATGGAAAACTGTATGAAGGGTCCTCGAAAAACTAAAATAGAACTACCATTGATCCAGCAATCTCACTGGTAGGTATATACGCAAATGAAAGGAAATCAGTATATCGAAGAGGTATCTGCACGCCCATGTTTATTGCACTACTATTCACAATAGCTAAGCTTTGGAAGCAACCTGAGTGTCTGTTGATAGATGAATAAAGAAAACATGGTACATATACACAATGGAGTACTAGTCAGCCATAAACAAGAATGAGATCCTATCACTTGCAACAGCAAGGATGGAATGGGAGGACATTGTGTTCAATTAAACTAGCCAGACACAGAAAGACCAACTTCACATGTTCTCACTAATTTGTAGGAGCTAAAAATTAAAAGAATTTAACTCATGGAGATAGAGAGTAGAATGATGGTTACCAGAGCCTGGGAAGGTAGTGGGCAAGGGAGGGAACGGGGGATGGTTAATGGGTACAAAAATATAATCAGATAGAATGAATAACATCTACTATTTGATACAACAGGGTGACCAGAGTCTACAATAATTTACTGTACATTTAAAAATTACTGAAGAAATATAATTGGAATATTTGTACCACAAAAGAAATGATAAATGCTTGAGGCAATGGATACCCCATTTATCCTAACATGATTATTACACATTGTATGACAGTATCAAAATATTTATCTCATGTACCCATAAATATACACGCCTACTCTGTAGCCATAAACATTCAAAATTTAAAAATACAAAAATAAATAATGTTTACAAAAGAGGATTGGTCTCTTGGGAAATAAACTGCAGAGACAGCCCAGGATGACATCCACTTTGTCCAGGAATCTGGGGGGAGGGGAGCAATGACCTGGATGTGACTCTGTGCAGTGCCACTCATGCTGTCTTCTTACTCAGCTGTACTTCCCTTCCTTCTGCTATGTACACCCCCTCAGTGACAGCAATGTCGGGAACTGTAGGGGTGAAGAGGACAGCACGAGTAGTGATGAAGGACAGTGATATGCCCCCTAAGTCTGGACAAAGGTCAGCTTACTTCTGGAAGGAGAGCCCAGGTTAGGAAGTGCAGGGGAGCAAGCCAGGAAGAATACAAGAATGAAAAACAAGCTGAGCTGAGCATGGTGGCTCACACCTGTAATCCCAACAGTTTGGGAGGCAGAGGCAGGAGGACTGCTTGATCCCAGAAGCTGAAGACTAGCCTGGGCAATACAGTGAGACTCCATCTCTACAAAAATATTTTTAAAAATTAGCAGGGCATGGTGGCACACGCCTGTAGCCCCAGCTACTGAGGAGGCTGACATGGGAGGATTGCCTGAGCCCAGGAGTGAGCCATGAACACACCACTGCACTTCAGCCTGGGCGAAAGAGTGACGCCCTGTCTCAAAACAGAAAAAAGAAAGAAAGAAAAACACCAACCACCCCAGCACAGTGACCACTGGAACCAAACCAAACAAGAGGCACTAGGCACAAAAAAAGGGGGAAGAAAGCAGAGACAACTAAAAATTGGAACAGGAGGAGTTAAAAAACTGTTAAGAAAATTATGTGAACAATTCAGAGACTCTGATCAGCAAATGATGGGAACTGAGGATGCTGTATTTCTTGGAACCTCCCAAATAGACTATTTCCCCAGATCATTCAATAATAATAATGGCTACCATTACCAAGCATCTACCATCTCCCAATCTATACATATATTATCTAATTATCTAATTGAACCCTTAAAGTAGCTTTGCCAGGTTTAGAGTATTCTCATTTTACAAAAGAGAAAATTAAGACCATCACAGGGAAGGTAACTTGCTGATGTCAAAGGGTTGGTCAACAGCAGAAACCAGAACCATCTATCTGCAAAGCACATGCTCTTTCCACCGTATCAAGCTGTCCTCTTATCCACCATTTGGATTTCATGTCTCTGGCCAGTTGCTGATGCTCCGGAACTAGAACCCAACTTCTGCTAAATCTAACTCTGTACTCTTTGTATAATATCCTGTGGCTTTAAATAAGATATTGACTCAGCAAATGGTACTAGAATCATTGGCTATCCATATACAAAAAAGAACATTATGCATACACATAAATTAACTGAAAATGGATCAAATTCCTAAATGTAAAACCTAAAACTATAAAATCTAATATGAAACACAGAAGAAATATCTTTCTCCTCTTGAATTAGGTAAAGATTTTCAGCTATGGCTTCAAAAGACTGATCCATGAAAGAAAAATACTGATAAACTAAACTATTTCAAAATTTAAAACTTCTGCTTTTCATTCTGTGAAGAGAATGAAAAGACCAGCTGCAAACTGAGGAAAAAAACATGTATAAAACATATGTCCAACAAAAGACCTGTGTACAGGATAAAGAACTCTCAAAACTCAGTAAGAAAACACCCAATTTTTAAAATAGGCAAAAGATTTGAACAGATATATCAACAATTAAGATGTACATGTGGCACACAAACACGTGAGAAAACACATTACAGTACTGCAAATTAAAACCACAATGCAATGTTACCACACTAAATGTATTAGGAGGATGAAAAACAAAAAGAAAATCTGACAAAAACAAGTGCTGGTGAGGATTTGGGGTAACTGGAACTCTGAGTCATTGCTGGTGGGAATTCAAAACAATAGGGGCTGCTTTGAAAAAAAGTGCAGCAATTTCTTATAAAGTTAAACATATATTTACCATAGAGCCCAGCAACCCCACTCCTAGGTATTTGTCCAAATAAAATGAAAACTTATATTTGCACAATAACCTGTATGTGAATGTTCACAGTGGCTTTGACAACCACCAAAACTAGAAAACAACTCAAATATCCTTCACTTAGAAAAACAAACTATGAAATAGCCATGTAATGGAATACTACTTGGCAATAAAAATGAACCAACTATTGAGGTTATATATTATAAATGTGTGTACAAATAACATGGCTAAGCAAAAGAAGCCAAATGAAATGGCTGGTTAATGTATATGATATTGTGGAAAAGGTAAAATGGTAGTGACAGAAAGAAGATTTGGGTTAGCAGGTGCTGGGAGTGGGGTATAGACATGGATACAACGCAGTACGAAGGAATTTGGGAGTGGTGGTGATAGAACGCTTCTCTATCTTGATGGTGGTGGTGGTGGTTGTGGTCACAGACTGCATTTATCCAAGTTTGTAGAACTGTACACTAAAAAGGGTGAATTTTACTGAATGCAAATTACACTCCAATTCTTTAAAAAGATAGGGAAGGTCTATCTGTTACTCTTATCACTATAGAAACAGCATAGTGAAGAGGTTAGGGCTATACTCTTGAAAGCTCCCGTTGCCTCATCTGTAAAACGGCAGTAAGAGTAACCCTAACTTTGATATGGTTGTAGAGAGAAATGAGATGAGGCATACAGAGAAGTCTGCAGAGTACCTCGTGAGAGGTGAAGCCAGCTGGACTTCCAGGGTGGAGTGGGGAATTGGAGAACTTTTCTGTCTTACAAGGGGATTGTAAAATGCACCAGCTGGTGCTCTGTAGCTAGCTAGACGTTTGTAAAATGCACCAATCAGTGCTCTGTAAAAACGCACCAATCAGCGCTCTGTAGCTAGCTAGAGGTTTGTAAAATGGACCAATCAGCACCCTGTAAAATGGACCAATCAGCACCCTGTAAAATGAACCTATCAGCACTCTGTAAAATGAACCTATCAGCACTCTGTAAAAGGAACCAATCAGCAGGACATGGGTGGGGACAAATAAGGGAATAAAACCTGGCCACCCCAACCAGCAGCGGAAACCCGCTCAGGTCCCCTTCCACGCCGTGGAAGCTTTTGTTTTTTCACTCTTCACAATACATCCTGCTGCTGCTTACTCTTTGGGTCCGTGCCATCTTTAAGAGCTCTAACACTCACCGCAAAGGTCCGCGGCTCCATTCTTCAAGTCATCAAGACCATGAACCCACCGGAAGGAACCAACTCTGGACACACTAGCACACAATAAGTGCCCCCATAAGCTTTAGCAGGTATTCTAATTTCCAGTAGTATCTGAGGAAGAATCACCTTATTGTACTAGACTTCCTGAACACTACTGCGTACCTGTGGACCATGTGTTGGGCTGGGGATGGTACTTGGTACACAAGAACACATACTCTGTATCACATTAGCTGCCATCCCTCAATCTATCCTCTGAGCTGGAGGCTTATGAAGCCCCAAAGATGGTAGAAAAGAATGTGTGTGCAAGAACTGGAAAGGTGAGACAGAATTCACGACACCACAAATTGTGGAGAGACCATCTTTTACCCGAGGTGGACATAACAGGGCCACGTGAAGGAGCCTGGTGAGCACAGCTGCCTGTCCTCTGGGGAGAAGGCAGAGAAGAAGTGCCACATCCTGTGATGTGGTGAACGCCACAGTCCAAGGCAAACACAATAGCTACATTGTTTATCTCTCAGCCAACTTTACAGCCCATCGTAGCATGCCCAGAAGCCTCTCCCCGTATGTCATAGCAACACTGCAGACGGGATTATGTGATTATGAAGTCAGTAACTCCCTTCCTTGATTAAACATGAACTCAAACAGACAGTCATTCACTCTGGGGGAAACCCATTTTTCTGCTTGTCTGGAGAAGCAAGACACAGGTAACATACAGCAATGTTAGGTTTCAACTAATTAAAAATGGGAATGAACACACGCACACGCACGCACACACTTCTTCAGTTCCCTGTCAAATCTTCCTGAGGACAACATAGTTTGGTTATGATGAAAACTTTAGAAACGGGAAACATTCTGCTTAGATTGTTAAAATTGAGAACAACGCAGAGCTGGTTGGGCTCATCATCCCACCAGGAGACAGTTCTGCTTACAATTTATCTAGCAAAATAGAGTAAGGCAGCAGAAAAAATCTTGGTTTCCTAGTGACCTTTAAGTAAGTGCTCCCATTTCAAATAGACTCAGTACCATAAAAACTTTCTTGGGCTGAGAACTTTCATTTCCTTTGAATATAACTTTTGCGCTAACATTCTTTCATTTCTTCTTCTTCAGACAATCATTGTTTCTTCCTTTCACTCAAACCTGCCTCTGTTCCCCGGTTTTCACGGTTTACAGGGCATAGCCCAGGTGATGTACAGCCCACATGGGAATCAAGGCAGTTCCCACACAGCACCAGCACAAAGTCATTTCTTTGTAGAAGCTGGGCTTCTTCAGGGCTGTGTAACTCATAGGTGTCGTGGAGGGTCTCAGAAGGAAACGAGGGAAGGCAATTCTGTGTTGCAGAAAAAGAGTTTTTCTAAAAAGAAGCTGAAATAATTACCAGAGACAAAAATTAACATTGCTTTATATTTACAGAAGAAACTAAGAGGAAGTAGGCTTAGAATTGTAGCATCAGGGAATGAGAAGTTTATTAAGGCTTCTCCCCACTACAGAACCATTTATTAAACTGTTTCCAGAATGGATACATTTTCACAATGATCCTACTCAATCTCTCTTCATAGAAGGCTCTGTGATAAAAGAAGATATAGATCCCCTGCTCCACAGACGGCTGACACTGGGTAAAAGATGCACACATACTTGGAAGCCCTCAGGAAAATTAGATCATTATCTTCTCGTTTTTTCTTTGCCTCCAAAGACTTAGATTTTTACCTATGTACTCGAAAAGCAACTGCAGACTTCCAATCAAGATGCTGTAAGTTCAAACCTGGAAGCGTTCCCTTCTACTCCAAATCCATAGTAATGACAGGTAAAATATAAAAACAGGAACCAAAAATAGCTTTGCCAAGTCAAAAAAAAAAAAAAAAACAGGCAATGATCTCCCTGGACCAAAAATAGAACAGAAATGCAAAGCAATAAACAAAGCTGAAGCTCCAGGGCCTGAGGTCTGGAAGTAGGTGGCAGTAGGTACAAGCTGAGTGCTGGTGGTTAAACAGGGAATACAAATGTTTCACATAAAAATGGTGAGTACAGTCAACCTTAAAGCTTAAAGCCAGAGAATGGGGTGAGGCTACCTTGCTTGACAAAAGAGGCCGGGATAAACAAAACCAGGGCTGATGACCTGTTCCCCTGTGCTAGATATTTACAGGAAGCTGTGGGCCTGAAGGGGCCAAACAGAGCCATGCTCTCTTGTCTAGGTACACAGCCATGACGCCCACCATCTAGGCAACACTTCTGCACTAGCCTCAGCATCACCGGGGCGCAAGAGGTCCAAATGCCATTAAGTTCTGGTTTTGAACTGGAGGCTGAGGGGCTTGGGGGAGGCAAAACTACCAGACAGAAGGGAAGAGCACAGAAGGAGTGAAAAGAACAAAACAAAAAAACTGTCCACTAAAAATGAGCCTGCCATACAAAATTCCAGAACACTGAGTGAAATGCAATGCTAACCAACTGAAAACAATCAGAACATAAATTCCCTCCAGTAAAATAAACTTCATGGAACTAACACTTAAAAGAAGTGTGATTAGAATACCCAAAGAGATGAATAATGTAGTAGCATGCATTAAAGTAAAAAAGAAGTTATAAAACCAAAATAGGCAGAAATAAAACACAGAGACGTGAAAAAGAACAAATTTGAAATCTTGGAAATAAAAATTGGTCTTTAAGCTGAACCAGTAAGCAGAAAGTATCCCTAGCACCTGACTTAAGGGAGCTCTAAGTTTAAAAACACGGACAAAATGCCAGAAGCTAAAATGGGTTCTCTCTGAGGAGTAGGTCGTGGGCAGGAGCAAGAGAGGAAAGGGGTACCATTGTTTTCAACTGTGTTAGAGTACTTTAATTTTTCAAACTATATACATGTATTACTTTAATAAAAAATCAAAATAAGAAATGTAAAAGCCCATTTGCAAGAAATAACACTAGTGAAGGATTACCTGAAGGATTTGCAGTCACTGCTTTCCTCCATAGAGACTAAATTGTATTCTTGGAAAGAAACAAACCATCAAAGAGATATGATCTTAGATTACCTAATTTTTCACGCTTCTAGTTACCTCTTTTATTAAGAAGTATTAATTTGGCTGGGCACGGTGGTTCACACCTGTAATCCCAGCACTTTGGGAGGCCAGGGCGGGTGGATCACTTGAGGTCAGGAGTTCGAGACCAGCCTGGCCAACATGTTGAAACCCCATCTCTACCAAAAAGTATAAAAAATTAGCCAGGTGTGGTGGTGCGCGGCGCCTGTAATCCCAGCTATTCAGGGGGCAAGGCAGGAGAATTACTGAAACCTGGGAGGCAGAGGTTGCAGTGAGCTGAGATTGTGCCACTGCACTGCAGCCTAGAAGACACAGTGAGACTGTCTCCAAAAAAAAAAAAAGTATTGTCAATCAGCTATGATGAAGAATATTATAGAAATCAGTGATTTCACTCGCTGTGGAAGTCCAGTAAGAATGCTTTGTGAGTGCCTCAGGCCTCAGTGCAGGGAAAAACTGCTCTGGCTGTGTTTTCCTTCTTAGGGCTACTGTGAATTTTGAAAGTAGTCTTTTAGGTTTGGCTGCTGATACATTAAGGGTAAATTCATCATTTTTCTAGCTGTTATATATTGCTTCTAGGCCTTTTGGTTAAGCTCAAGTGTAGTACTTCTAGCTGTTACATAAAGGATCATATGGTATAAATTCTGCATACTAAACTACTTTCATCTTATTTGTCACTTTTATTTCTCAAACGAAAATAAAATTTATTGCTGTTGTATTACATATGCAAGTAGATACATATATACATGTGTATGTATCCTTGTGAATGTGTGCGTGTAAGCTACTTCAAAATCTTTTGGGTGGAGGAAAGGGAACAATTAGATAAAGGAAATTGGTATTTTGAAACAGAAAAAGGGAACAAAAGCAGGTTGAATGTTAGGGTCGCAACTAGAGAGCACTGAATGGCAACCTATGAGTATGAAGTTGATCCTGAGTGCTAAAGATAATGCTGAATGCTTGAACATTTCTGAGCAAAGTAACAACATGAGAATAGTGGCATCTGAGAGAGTTTACCTAAAACAGTGTGTGCCAAGGATGAAAAGAAAGAAATTGAGAGCCCGGTGAATAATCAGGGGCTATTTCAATAACCTAGCAGTGAGGCAACAGAGCTTTGATAGACTGATAGACATGGTGTTTCAAAAGAATTAACTCTAACAGGACTTAGGAAAGAAAAATTGACATGGCAAGTAATCATAGCTTGTTTGTTTTTTGCAACAAGGCATGTGACATCCAAAGCAGCACGCTATGTTCTTGCCACAAACTTATGGAAACAATCAATTCCATTTGGTCTGTTCAGCTCCTATTGCCTTGGATTCTGACCTGGGCAAGCCATGAGGACCCAAATCATTCAAAAACCTCCCTCAGAAGGTAAGTTTTATTTTTTTCCAGAAATTAAGCTGCAGCTGATTACAAATGACAACTGTAAATATGCAAATTATACTTGCTATTAAAAGGGTTCCTGCCTTCCTGAAACAAAATACTGTGTAAGTCCAATAATATGCAGATGTAGACACATAATAAATATTGCTTGATGCAGAAAACTGGTGAGATGAATTTTCTAGGTTCCAAGAAAAGCAGAAAAATAAGCTTGGAAACTTTAAATCCAGGAACTGAAAATTAATTTTGATTGAACTAATGTTGAATTTATGATCTTTTGGGAATGCACTAAGCTGAATTTACCTCTGTATTTTTTTTTGAGGCAAATTGATAGTACAGAGATCTCAGAGGAGTGTTTATATCACTAAACAAAATTCTCAAATAGAAACTTAAAAATACAACTGAAAAATTAGTTGCAAACTAAGTTTATATTCTCATCTAAGTACATACTCTACTCTCTTCCACTAGAAAATATTTCATGGAAACATGGGAAAACAGGAGCGGGGAGGGGCCCTATGGCTGTCTAGTGTAATTCTTTAATGTTACAGAGGATGGAACGAATCCAGAGAGGTTCAATGACTTGCCCAGGACCATTCAATGTGTTAGATACAGCATGGACTATAATCCAGCAGAGTAATCAAGTACTGTTTTCATGACACCATTAGACCCATCTCAATATTTTAATGGTCAATGTTATATGTTAACTTGAGTGGGCCACAGGGTGCCCAGATATTTGGTCAAACATTATTCATAGAGTGTCTGTGAGAGTATTTCTTTATGAGCTTGCCATTGGAATCCACAGACTCAGTAAAGGAGTCTGCTCTCTCTGGTGGCACTTAACTAACCAGCTGAAGGCCTGAGTGGAACCAAAAGGCTGCAATTCCCTCAAGTAAAAGCAAAAGAGAATTCCTCCTGGCTTACTGCTTGAGTTGGACTGATCAGTTCTTCTTGGAACTTGGGCCTGCCAGCTTTTGGAACAGAACTTACACCACTGGCTCTCCTGGTTCTCAGGGCTTCAGACTTGTCCTGAAACTATACCATGGCTCTTCTGGGTCTCCAGCTTGCCAACTGCAGATCTTGAGACTTCTCAACCTCCATAATCAGGTGAGACAATTCCTTAGAATAAATCTGTTTCTCCACCCCATCTTGTTGGTTCTCCTTCTCTGAAAAACCCTAATTTTAATATTAAACGAATCTTTAGCTCAATAGAGTAAAGAAAATGGTCTCAGTGGGTATGGTAGACATTATGCACTAGCTACCCAAAATCCATTTAACACCTCTCTTTTCTCTTGACTTCCTCTTGCATAAAGGCTAAAAAGCTAAAATACAGTTCCTAGCCTCTTCTATAGCTAAAGGTGGCCATATGACACCATTCTGAACAACAAAGTAAATGACATCATTTTTGAGCAATAAAGTGTAGGTAGATATCCTTAGGAGGTCTTCCCTTTGCTCTTTGCCTCTTATTACCCCATCTTTTTTCTCCAGAGCTTAGATACACTGACTGGGGTTTGGAAGCATCAGTCATCTTCAGACTGTAAGGACAAACCCACATGCTAGGGATGACTATGGAGGAAGACAGAAGGATTTCAGGTCCATGATGAGATCTATGAGTCGCTGCTGTCATCTTGGATTACTTCTCCAGAATTTTTAGAACATGCACCCCACCTACTAAAGCTACGTTTAGTTGGGCTATCTGTTATTTATAGCCAAATCCTTTCCTAATATACTATTGCAGCCCAGATGTCACCTGTTACAATAAAACTAAGATCACTATGACCCCCATTTTAATAAAAGATCATCATTCATTCACTCAAGAATTTTCTGAAGATCCACCATATTCATGGCACCTAAGAGGAACTAAATTCAAGAGCCTTCTCATTTCCAACCAAGGATGCTGGTGGAAAGCTACCTTGCTAACATTCCAGATCATGGTCTGGGAGGAATCCCAGGGCAGTTTCCCATGATTTCTGTCATTCTTGCCTGTGGCAAAAGGCTAACAATAAAGTAGATTGAATCTTCAGGAGCTATTAGAATATTCAACTTTTCCCACTTAATTCCCTTATTTTCAAAAGTTCTTCTTAAGGCAAAATGGATCATGTTCATGGACTCCTGCAGCATTAGAATGAGCTCAGGGTCCTTTCTCATGCAGTGAGAGCAACTACCTCTCTTGATTCATGTTGCCAATGGGAGTTACAGTGAGTTGTGGTATACTGGCAGGAGCATTAGGTTTAGTCATGACATCTGGGTGTCAGACTTGGTTTTGCCACTTTTTCCTTTAAGTCCCAGGGGTAAGTCCTGGGATAAGTCTCAGAGGCATATCTCTGAACCTTTCCGAGTTTCACTTCCTAATTTACTTATAATTACTCAGACCAAGAAAGATAACAATTACGAAAGAATTCTAGTGAGGTAAACATTCTTCCAAAGTAAGATTTCTTTAGACAATCTGATTATGTGAAATATTTCATATTGGACCTAAAAATAAGTAGGTCCAACATGAAAAAGGTATATGAGTAACAGAAGAAAAGTCCATTCATTATCTTCATGGCATTTACTTTGTCTCTCCTTTCTCAGAGTAAAAGTTGTTACATAAGTGATCTCAATCTAATAATGTGCTGCAGTGGAAAAGCCTTATGGAGCAAATGTTAAAGAAACAGAGAGACATCATCAAGATGGCTGACTAGAGGCAGCTGGCACTCATCTCCTCCACCAAAAAGAAGGAAAACAGTCAGCAGATAACCACAGGTTAAACAGAGCATCTAAGAGGGAACAATGGAATTCAGCACAAAAGGGACAGGGACTCTCCAAGGCACAGAGAAAGAGGGAAGATAAGCAGCAGTCTCAGCCGGGATTGGCTCAGAGCCAGGAAAGGCTCCCCATTGTAGGGAAAAGGTAAGCAAGAAATCTCCAGTTGTCCACATTACCACCACAGATGCCTGCCATCCTAGCCACAGGAGAGCTGCTCAGCTTCACAGGCCCTGAGCCTAGTATAGGGAGTTGACTGGAGTCCATCATGGAATTGTTCCCAAGGGCATTCATGCTGCATTCTAGTCACCCCTCAGGACCCAAGGTGCTGTGGCATGGCACCATTTTAAGAGCCCAGCAACAACCAGACTATATCCTGCCCTGGACCCCAGAAGCCCCTCCATTCCACATCCCTGGAATGCCACTGATATTCCCCCATATCCACTCAGAGGGCTGCAGTATCATGAGGCCAGCTGGACCAAGTGGTACAGCCAGATATCCAGTACTCTAGCCCACACTGTGTCCTATACCCTGGGGACCAGCAGAACCAGTGCACCAGGGAGGCTGCCCCCATGACAAATGGAGCTGAAGCACATTTTCCTCAAAGCATGGGAGCTGCCTGCCTGGGGCCACTGCCACCTACAGCGATGCCACCCCTTCCAAGGACAAGGCCACCACACACCTGTACATGCCTTCAGGGGACCTGAGAACCAGCTCTCTGGGGCACAATGTCCAGAGGCCCCATCTGTATCCTATCTGGGGGCTGGAAGATAGGATAAGCCTGCACATGGCATCAAGGAAATTGAGGACAGGCCTGGGTCAACCCATCTCCAGTGGTGCCATATGCACCATTACAAGGCCTGCAGACAGTCTCATGTCATTTAGACACCTAAGGACCAGAATGCCTGGCCCACTGCCACCATCACCAGTACCTACATGTGCCAACAAGGGGCCTAAGAACCAGCCCACCTGGTGTCTCCATCCCCAGCAAAGGTTGCCCAAGCCTCCACTAACAATCACAGCCTAAGCCACTAAAGAACCTGTGATCACTGCTGACACTGATTATGGACAAAGAAATAATATGAAGACCACAGTACTGTTCCTACCCAAAATCAGAGCTAAAGAACTCTACCCAACAAATACTGTAAATATATCTACATGAAAAAGTCATTCTCTATGAAAGCCAATCCAAAAACTTAGAAGAAGCAATTATGACACCAGATGCACAGACGTAAGGACACGAGAAATGCGAAAAAGAAAACATGACACCTACAAAGCAACACAATAATTCTTCAGAAAAAGATATCAAAGAAAAGGAAATCTATGATATGCTTGAAACGAAATGCAAAATAATGACCTCAAGGAAACTCAGTGATATACAAGAGAACACAGGTAAAACAATATGAAAAACTCAGAAAAGCAGTTAATGATCTGAATAAATTCAAAGAGATATCGTAAAAAGAACCAAAGAGAAATCCTAAGACTGAAGAATTCAATGAACAAAATTAAAAAATATAATCGAGAAGCTTCAACAATAGGCTAGATCATGAAGAAGGAATTTCTGAATTGAAGGCAGAGCTTTTGAAATAACACAGTCCAAAAAAGGTGAAAATCTAACAAAAAAGAATGAAGAAAGCCTAAGTGACATATCGGACATCATAAAGTAAAAAGTATTCAAATACCGAAATTTCCAAAAGGAGAAGAAATTATAAAAGTCAGAGAAAACAGGCAGAGCAAGATGCTGGAATAGAAAGCTTCACCAATTGCCCCCACCCCCACAAGGACACCAAGTTAACAACTATCCACACAGAAAAAAACACCTTCATGAGAACCAAACGCCAGATGAGCATTCACAGTACTGGCTTTTAACTTCCTATTGCGAAAAGGGGCACTGAAGACATAGAACAAACTGTCCTGAATCGCCAGTGCCACCTCTCCCTGACCCCCAGCAGTGGTGCGTGGTGACAAGAGCATCTCTGGGTGCTAGGGAAGGGATGATATAGTTTGGCTCCGTGTCCTTACCCAAATCTCATCTGGAATTGTAACTGGGGCTTGCATCCCCTGAAATAACAGCCTGAGCTGTACCTTGGCCTCTTTTACCCACAGCTGGAGCAGGTGGGATGCCCCAAGTCCCGAGGCTGCACACTGCAGGGGGGCCCTGGACCCTGCCCATAAAACCATTTTTTACCTCCTAGGCCTCTGGGCCTGTGATGGGAGGGGCTGCTGTGAAAGTCTCTGAGATGCCCTAGAGACATTTTCCCCGCTGTCTTGGTGATTAACATTTGGCTCCTTGTTTCTTATGCAAATTTCTGTAGCCAGCTTGAATTTCTCCCCAGAATATGGGTTTTTCTTTTCTACCACATCGTCAGGCTGCAAATGTTGACTCCATGTCTCACATCCAGGTCATGTGGGGATTATGGGAAGTACATCTTGAATTGTAATCCCCATAATTCTCACAGGTCAAGGGAAGAACCTGGTGGGAGGTGATTGGATCATGGGGGCTGTTTTCCTGAGACGGGGGTGAGTTCTCATGAGATCTCATGGTTTTATAAGGTGCTCTTCCTGCTTTGCTCTTCGTTTTCTCTCTCATCTGCCACCATGTAAGACATGCCTCTTCCTCTTCACTATGATTTTAAGTTTCCTGAGGCCTCCCTAACCATGTGGAACTGTGAGACAATTAAAACTCTCTTCTTTGTAAATTACCCAGTCTCAGGTAATATCTTCATAGCAGTGTGAAAACAGACTCATACAAGGAAGAATACAGCAATTGTGAGGCACTGAACTCAGTGCTGTCCTGTTAGAGGAGAAAGGAAAAGCAAACCAAACTCACCTGATGTTGCCCACAGAGGGAGCATTTAAACTAGCCCTAGCCAGGGGGCAATCTCCAATCCCAGAGGTCCGAACTTGAGTGCCTGCAAACCTCACCACTGAGGGCCAAAGTACTGTTGGCCTCTAAGTAAACCTGAAAGGCAGTCTAGGCCATAACGACTGCAACTCGTAGGCAAGTCCTACAGCTGAACTAGGCCCAGAGACAGTGGACTTAGGGGGCATGCGACATACTGAGGCACCAGCTGGGACAGCCGAGAGAGTGCTGGCGTCACCCCTCCCCTGGCCCCAGGGTGCACAGCACCTGGCTCCAAAAGAGACCCCTTCCTTCTGCTTGAGGAGAGGACAGGGAAGAGTAGGGAGGACTTTGTCCTGCATCTTGGATACCAGCTCAGCCACAGCAGGAGAGGGCACCAGCAGAGTCGTGAGGCCCCCATTCCAGACCGTAGCTCCCAGATGACATTTCTAGACATACTCTGAGCCGGAAGGGAAGCCGCTGCCTTGAAGGAAACAACCCAGTCCTGCCAGCATTCATCACCTACTAACTGAAGAACCCTTGGGCCCCGAATAACCAGCAGTGACACCCATGAATTACATCGAAGGCCTTGGGTGAGTCTCCGGGACTTGCTGGCTTCAGGTGAGACTCAGCACATAACCAGCTGTGGTAGCTACAGGGCAAAACTCCTTCTGTTTGAGAAAAGCAGAGAGAAAAATAAAAGGGACTCAACTACCAACATCTTAGGTACCAAGAACCCCAAGAATGGGTTCCTGGGGTCCCTGACTCCAAGACTTGAGTCTTAGCATTTCTGGGCCTGCCTTCGGCCGGAGGGCAGTCCTCTCCCCTGACTAGAGTCCCAAATCCCTGCAACATTCACCACGAGCTGACTTTAGAGACCTTGGGCCTTAAGGGAATGTTGGCAGTAATCTGGCAATACTCCATGTGGCCAGGGGTAAAGGTGGCTGCGGGGTGAGGCTCCTGTGCCTTTGGAAAAAGGAGGGAAGACTGAGAAAGATTGAGTCTTACAGTTTTAGTGCCAGCTCAGTCGTAATACAAAAGAATACCAGGTAGACTTTTAAGGTCTGACTCCCAGACAGTACTTCTGGACCCACCTGGGGCCTGGGGGACCTCATGGCCCTGAAGGGAAGGGCATAGGCCTTGCTGGCTTTGCCACCTGCTGATTGTAGAGCCCCAGACCCTTGAGCAAACACAGTCAGCAGCCAGGGAGTGGTTACAGCAGGTCTTGGGCGAGACCCAGCACTGTGCTGGCTTCAGGTCTACATAAAAGCAGAAACATGGAACAATGGAACACAACAGAAAACCCAGAAACAAATATACACACCTATGGTGAACTAATTTTTGATAAAAGTGCCAAGAACATAGAAAAGACAGTCTCTTCAATAAATGATGCTGGGAAAACTGGATAGCCATATGCAAAAGAATGAAACTACACCACTATCTCTCACCATATACAAAAATAAAATCAAATGGATTAAAGACTTAAATCTAAGACCTCAAACTATAAAACTACTACAAGAAAATATTAAGGAAAATCTCCAGGACACTGGGCTGGGCAAAGATATTTTGAGCAATACCCTATAAACACAGGCAACCAAAGAAAACATGGACAAATGGGATCACATCAAGTTAAAAAGCTTCTGCATAGCAGAGGAAACAATCAGCAAAGCGAAGAGACAACCCATGGAATGGGAGAAAATATTTGCAAGCTACCCATCTGACAAGGGGTTAATCACCAGAATATACAAAGAGCTCAAACAAATCTATAGAAAAAACAAATCTAATAATCTGATCAAAAGACGGACAAAAGATTTGAATAGACATTGCTCAAAAGAAGACATACACATGGCATACAGACATATGAAAAGGTGTTCAATATCACTGTCAGAGAAATGCAAATCAAAACCACAATGAGGTATCATCTCACCCCAGTTAAAATGGCTTATAATAAAGACAAGCAGTAACAAATGCTGGTGAGGATGTGGAGAAAAGGGAACCCTTGTACACTGTTGATGGGAATGTAAATTAATACAACCACTATGGAGAACTGTTTGGAGGTTCCTCAAGAAACTAAAAATATAACTACCATAGGATCCAGCAATCCTACTGCTGGGTATATACCCAAAACAAAGGAAATCAGCTTATCGAAGAGGTATCTGCACTCCTATGTTTGTTGCAGCACTGTTCACAATAGCTAAGATTTGGAAGCAAACTAAACGTCCATCAGCAGATGAATGCATAAAGAAAATGTGGTACATATACACAATGGAGTACTATTCAGCCAGAAAAAAATGAGATCCAGTCATTTGTAACAACATGGATGGAAATGAAGGTTATTCCATTAAGTGAAATACCAGTCTCAGAAAGACAAACATATGTTCTTACTTATTTGTGGTATCTAAGAAAAATCACACGTTCTTATTTATTTACTTATTTATTACTAAAAAATCACATGTTCTTACTTATTTGTGGTATCCAAAAATCAAACCAATTGAACTCATGGACAGAGAGAGTAGAAGGAGGCTTCCCAGAGGCTGCAAATCGTACGTGGTTTACAGGGGACGTGAGGATGGTTAATGGGGACAACAGAAATAGAAAGAATGGGTAAGACCTACTATTTGATAGCACAATAGGGTGACTATAGTCAATGATTACCTAGTTGTATGTTTTAAGATAACTTAAAAAATGTAATCGGATCGTTTGTAACTCAAAGGATAAATGCTTGAGGGGATGGATACCATATTTTCCTTAACATGCTTCTTTCACATTGCATCCTTGTATCAAAACATCTCATGTACTCCATAAATATATGCCCCTACTATGTACCCACAAATTTTTTAAAAAATAAAATAATTTAAAGTCAGAGAAAACCTATTTAACGAAATAACAGCCAAAACCAAAGGAATTCATCACCACTAGACTAGCTCTAAAAAAAATTCTTAGGAGAGTCCTATATCCAGCAGCAAAAGGACAATATTTGCCATCATGAAAACACACCAAAGTAGAGAACTCACTGATAGAACAGATACGCAAATGGGAAAAAGAAGGGAATCAAATGTTATCACTACAGAAAACCACCAAACTGTAAAGGCAAACAATACAAGAGGAAGAGGAGAACAAAGGATTTACAAAACAATCAGAAAACAATTTTTAAAATGTCAGGACTAAGTCCTCTCATATAAATAACCATAACTGTAAATGGTTTAAATTCCCCCAATTAAAAGATTGGCTGGATAGGTAGGAATAACAACAACAAAAAGAATCTAACTATGTGCTGCCTACAAAAAAAATCACTTCAATTGTAAAGCCAGATTAAAAGTGAAGGGATGGCCAGGCATGGTGGCTCACGCCTGTAATCCCAGCACTTTGGGAGGCCGAGGTGGGCAGATCACGAGGTCAGGAGATCGAGACCATCCTGGCCAATATGATGAAACCCTGTCTCTACTAAAAATATAAAAATCAGCTGGGCGTGGTGGCTCGTGCCTGTAATCCCAGCTACTCAGGAAGCTGAGGCCGGAGAATCCCTTGACCCAGGGAGTTGGAGGTTGCAGTGAGCTGAGATCGCGCCACTGCACTCCAACGTGGTGATAGAGTGAGACTCCATCTCAAAAAAAAAAAGTGAAGGGATGACAAACAATACTCCACGCAAACAGAAGCCAAAGCTGAGCAGGAGTAGCTGTAGTGTATCACACAAAATAGACATTAAGTCAAAAAACAAAGAGAGACACAAAAGGTCATTAAAAATGATAAAAACATCAATTCAGCGATAGGATATAACCATTGTAAACATATATGCGCCCAAACTGGAGCACCCAGATATACAAGACAAATATTATTAGGGCTAAATAGACAGAGAGACCCCAATACACTAATAGTTGGGGACTTCAGCAGTGGACAGATCATCTAGACAGAAAATCTACAGAAAAATATCACACTTAATCTGTACCACAGAGGAATCCAGCAGATGTTTACAGAACATACATCCAACACCTGTAGAATATACTTTCATCTCATCAGTAAATGGAACATTCTCCAAGATAAATGATACATTAGTCCTCTAAACAAGGCTTAACACATTTTTAGAAACTGAGATCATATCAGGTACCTTTTCAGACTGCAATGAAATAAAACTAGAAATCAGTAAAAGAAACTTTGGCTGTACAAATACATGAAAATTAAACATGCTTCTTGGGTCAGTGAAGCAATTGAGAAAAAGATCAAAAACTTTATTCAAACAAATGAAAATGGACATACAACATATCAAAATGTATGGGTTACAGCAAAAGTAGTGTTAAGATGGAAGTTTATAGCAATAAACACCTCTATAAAAGAGGTAGGAAGATTTCAAGTTAAAAAGTCTAACAATGTATCTCAAGGAACTAGAAAAACAAGAATAAACCAACATCAAAATTAGTAGAAGGTAAGAAATAAAGATCCAAACAGATCTAAACAAAACAGAGATTAAAGAACAATACAATACAAAAGATCAATGAAACAAAAAGTTTTTTGAAAAGATAAACAAAATTAATAAACGACTTGCTAGACTAAGAAAGAAAAAGACTCAAATAAGTAAAATCAGTGAGGAAAAAGGGGACATTATACCAGATTCCCCAGAAATTCAAAGCATGATTAGAGACTGTTAGCAACAACTGTATGCCAATAAATTGGAAAACCTAGAAGAAATGGATAAATTCCCAGTCACACACAAACTACCAAGGTTAAACCGTGAAGAAAACAGAAAACGTGAACAGAACAATAGCAAGTAATGAGATAGAAACAGTAATAAAGCCTCCCATCAAAGAAAAGCCTAGGACCTGATGGCTTCACTGCTGAATTCTACCAAACATTTAAAAAAGAATGAATACCAATTCTACTCCCACTATTCCAGAAAAATTAGGAGGAGGAAATACTTCCAAAGTATATATATAAAACCAGCATTATGTAAAACCAGCATTACCCTGATGCTAAAACTAGACAAAGGCACAACAACAAAAAACTAAAGGCCAATATCACTGATTAGCATAGACACACTTTTTTTTCAACAAAATACTGGCAAACCAAATTCAACATTAAAAAGATCATTCATCATAATCAAGTGGGTTCATCTCAGGGATGGAAGGATGGTTGAACATATGTAAATCAATAAAGGTGATACATCACATTAACAGAATCAATGACAAAACCATATGATCATTTCAATAGATGTTGAAAAAAACTTTCAATAAAATTCAATATGCCTTCATGATGAAAAAAATCTTAACAAACTGGGTATGAGGGAAACATACTTCAGAAAATAAGGGCCATATATGACAAACCCCAAGCTAGCATCACACTTAATTGGGAAAAACTGAAAGCCCCTCCTTTACCACGTGGAACAAGACAAAGATGTCCACTTTCACCACTTTTACTCAACACAGTACTGGAATTCCTAGCCAGAGCAATTAGACAGGAGAAAAAATTAAAGGGCATTCAAATTAGAAAGGAAGAATTCAAGTTAGCCTTGTTCACAGACAACATGATCTTACATCTAGAACCAAGAGACTCCAACAAAAACTGTTAAACTGATAAATTCAGTTAAGTCGCAGGATACAAAATCAACATACAAAAATCAGTAGCATTTCTATATGCCAACAGCAAACATCTGAAAACAAATAAAGAAAGCAATCCCATTTGCAACAGCTACAATAAAATAGCATAAACACCTAGGACTAAACTTAATAAAAGTGAGATCTCTACAATAAAAGTATAAAGCATTGATAAAAGAAATTGAAGAGAACATAATAAATTGGAAAGATAGCCCATGTGGATTGGAAGAATACTGCTAAAATGACCGTTCTATCCAAAGCAATCTACATTTTCAATGTAATCCATATCAAAATATCAATGACACTCTGCACATGAAAAGAAAAAGGCAATCCGGAAATTCATATGGAACAACAAAAGCAATCCTGGACAAAACGAACAAAGCTGGAGGCATCACGTTACCTGACTTGAAAATGCTCTATAAAATTACAAAAAGCAAAGTAAGCATGGTACTAGCATAAAAATGGACATATGGACCAATGGAACACATGAAAGAACGTAGAAACAAATCCACACATTTAGTCAATGGAGTTTCAAGAAAGTCATCAAGAAAATACATTGAGAAAGGAAAATCTAGATAGCCCATATGCAAAAGAATAAAACTAGACCCCTATCTCTCCCCATATACAAAAGTCATATCAAAACAGCTTAAATATTTGAATATAAGACCTAAAACCATGAAACTACTATAAGAAAACATTGGGTAAACACTTCAGACATTGAGCTGGGCAACTACTTATTGAGCAAGACCTCAAAAGCACAGGCAACCAAAGCAAATATAGAAACATGAGATCAAATCAAGCTAGAAAGCTTCTGCACAGCAAAGAAAATAATCAATGAAGAAACAACCTATAGAATTGAAAAAAAAATTTGCAAAGTATTCATTGGACAAGAGATTAATAATCACAATATATAGGAACTCAAACTCAATAGCAAAAAACAACCCAATTAAGAACAGGCAAAATATGCTGAATTCATAGAAATGGCCAACAGATATATAAAAAAATGTTCAATAACATTAATGGTCAGGGAAATGCAAATTAAAACCACAATGAGCTATCATCTCCCCAGTTAAAATGGCTACTATAAAAAAGTAAGAAAATAACAAATGCTGGCAAGGATGTGGAGAAAGGGGAAGGCTCACACATTGTTGGTGGAATGTAAATTAGTACAACCACTATGGACAACAGTAAGGAGGTTCCTCAAGAAACTACAAACGCAACTACCATATAACCAAACAATCCAAACGTTGGATATAGATCCAAAAGAAAGGAAATCAGAATATCAAAGAGAGATCTGCACTCCCATGTTTATTGCTGCACTATTCAAAATAGCCAAGGCAGGGGTCGACCTAAATGTCCATCAATAAGTAAAAAAAAAAATGCCATATATATATATATACACACACATATACACACACACACAACGGAATATAGTTCCTCTATGAAAAGTAATAAAATCCTGTCATTTGTAGCAACATGGATGGAACTTAAAGACATCACATGATGTGAAATATGCCAGGCACAGAAAGACATATCTCATGTTCTCACTCATACATGGGAACTAAAAAGAAGGTGATTTTATAGAGATAGTGAATACAATAGTGGTTTTGAGGCTGGAAAGAGTAGTAGGTAGAGGGATTAAGAGGGGTTGGTTAATGCATACAAGATTACAGCTCAATAGGAGGAGTAAGATCTAGTGTTCAGCTGCACAATAGGGCAACTATAGTTAATAGTTTACTGTATATTTCAAAATAGCTAGAAGAGAAAATTTAGAATGTTCCCAACATAAATAAATTTTTGAGGAGATGGATCTCCCAGTTACCCAGATCTGATCATTACACATTGTATGCTGGTATCAAAATACCACATATACCACACAAATATGTACAACTATCATATATCAATAAAAATGTTTAAAAAGCAATAAAGAGCATTTAACTTGGAAGAAATCACATTGTCCTCCCTTTGCAGACAACATGACCTTATATACGGAGAAACTAAAAGACTCCACCAAAATACCCTTAGAACTGATAAATTCAGTAAAGCTGCAAGATACAAAATCAACATGCAAGAATCAGCAGTGTTTCTATACACCAATAATGAACTACCTGAAACAGAAATCAAGAAAGTAATCCCATTTACACTAGCTACCCACCCCCCAAAAAAAGACACCTAGGAGTAAATTTAACCAAGGAGGTGAAAGGCCTCTGCAATAAGAACTATAAAACATTGATAAAAGAAACTGAAGAGAACACAAATGGAAAGGCATACCATGCTCATTAATTGGAAGAATTAATATTGTTAAATGATGATACTATCCAAAGCAATCTACAGATTCAATGCAATCCCTATTAAAATACCAACGATATTCTTCAAGAAATAGAACTAATGATCCTAAAATTAACATGAAAACACAAAAGACCCCAAATAGCCAAGGCAATACCGAGCAAAAAGAACAAAGCTGGAGGTATCACACTACCTAACTTCAAAATATCCCACAAAGTTATACTAACAAAAAAAACATGGAATTGGTATAAAAACAGACATATAGACCAATGGAACAGAACAGAAAACGCACAATTAAATACACATTATTTATAGGCAACTGATTGTCAACAAAGGCACCAAGAACACACAGTGGGGAAAGGACACCTCTTCAATTATTTGTCATCAGAAAAGTGGATATCCACGTGCAGAAGAATGAAACTAAACCCTTATCTGTCACCACACAGAAAAATCAACCAAAATTAATTAACTACTGTGAGCCTGGAAACTATAATACTAAAAGAAAACAGTTGGTGGGACTGTAAACTAGTTCAACCATTGTGGAAAACAGTGTGGCGATTCCTCAGGGATCTAGAACTAGAAATACCATTTGACCCAGCCATCCCATTACTGGGTATATACCCAAAGGATTATAAGTCATGCTGCTATAAAGACACATGCACACGTATGTTTATTGTGGCACTATTCACAACAGCAAAGACTTGGAACCAACCCAAATGTCCAACAATGATAGACTGGATTAAGAAAATGTGGCACATATACACCATGGAATACTATGCAGCCATAAAAAAGGATGAGTTCATGTCCTTTGTAGGGACATGGATGAAGCTGGAAACCATCATTCTCAGCAAACTATCGCAAGGACAAAAAACCAAACACCACATGTTCTCACTCATAGGTGGGAATTGAACAATGAGAACACATGGACACAGGAAGGGGAACATCACACACCGGGGCCTGTTGTGGTGTGGGGGGAGGGGGGAGGGATAGCATTAGGAGATATACCTAATGTAAATGACAAGTTAATGGGTGCAGCACACCAACATGGCACATGTATACATATGTAACAAACCTGCACGTTGTGCACATGTGCCCTAGAACTTAAACTATAATTTAAAAAAAAAAAAAGAAAACATAGGGGAAACACTTCAGAACATTGGTCTAGGCAAAGATTTTATGGCTAAGACCACAAAAGCACAAGCAACAAAAACAAAAATAGATAAATGAGACTGTATTAAACCAAAATGCTTCTGCAGAGCAAAGGAAACACTCAACAGAGTGAAGAGACAACTATAAAATGGCAGAAAATATTTGCAAATTATGCATTCAAAAAGGAACTAATATCCAGAATATACAAGGAACTCAAACAACTCAACAGCAAAAATATCACAAATATTCCAATTCAAAAGAGGGCAAAGGATCTAAATAGATATTTATCTAACACATATAGAAAAGGCCAATAAAAATGCTTATCAGCAACCATCAGGAAAATGCAAATCAAAACCAAAATGAGGTGTCATCTCACCCCAATGAGAATGACTATTATCAAAAAGACCAAAAAAAATAAAAATAACAAATGCTGGCAAGGATGTGGGGAAAACATACTCTCATACTAGGCTGGTGCAAAAGTAATTGTGGTTTTTGCCATTAAAATTAATAGCTACCCACTCCCAAAAAAAGACACCTAGGAATAAATTTAACCAAGGAGGTGAAAGGCCTCTACAATGAGGCCACTGCCATTACTTTTAATGGCAAAAACTGCAATAACTTTTGCACCCACCTAATAGTATAGCCATTATGGAAAACAGCATGAGGGGTTCTCAAAAAACTAAAAATAGAACTACCATACAATCTAGCAATTACAGTACTGGGTATTTATCCAAAGGATAGAAAATCAGTATATCCAAGGGATACCTGCAGCCCCATGTTTATTACAGCAGCACTATTCAGAAAAACTAAGATGAAATCAACCTCTATGTCCATCAATGGAAAAATGGATAAAGAAAATGTGGCATACATACACAATGGAATATTATTCAGTCATGAAAATGATATTCTGTCATTCATGGCAACATGGATGGGCCTAGAGGACACTATGTTAAGCAAAGTCAGTCAGGTGCAGAAAGATAAAATACTCCGTGTTCTCACTCATATGTGGGAATTAAAAAAAATGGATTTCATGGAAGTAGAGAGCAGAACTGTGGGTACTAGAGGCTAAGAAGGTGGGGAGAGGTTGGTTAATGAACACAAACTTAGGAGGAACGAATCTGCTCATCTGCAGCACTGTAGGGGGATATGGTTCACTTTATTTTATTGTATATTCTCAAAACGCTAAAAGAGGATTTTGAATATTCATGACATAAAGAAATGATAAATATATGAGGTGACAGATATGCTAATTACCCTGATTTGATACTACACATAGTATACACATAATTAAGTATCACTCTGTATCCCAAAATATGTGCAATTATTATGTGTCAACTAAAAACAAAAGGAAAAAACTATAAGGATAAAAAACAGATCAGCGGTTATCAGGGGTTGGGGTAGGGGTGGTAGGGTTGACTATAAAGGGACATGAGGGCACTTTTTTGGGAAACGAAACCATTCTGTATCTTGATTTTGATGGCAGTTTCATGACTGGGTTTGTTGAAATCATAGAACTGTCTCACTAAGTAGGGTAAATTTTTTGCATGTAAATTGTACCTCAACAAACCTGATTTTATTTTAAAAAACATTTTTAAAGAAATAAACTAGGTAAAACTTGGTATGTTGTTTACCGAGCAATAACTTGTCAATCATAACGTAATTCAACCCACTTACTACATATGTTCTACTAGCACTCTGGCCTTCACCCATCCTTTTAATTAAATATTTAATGCCTACATTCCCACTTGACTCTAAACTCCACAGATCCTTACCTTTGGTTAAATCGGTTAAATCTCAGCTTGGTGGGTGACAAAAGTTCCAGGAAACAAAATATATGCAGTTCAATGAGTTATCTTATTTATCTGTTTCCTACCATGTACTGAGGGTCATTACTTTTGGGTTTATGAAATCTAGGCAGAGTTCTCTGAAGATCATTGAGATTTTGCCGTGGAGGTGTTTCAATCTGGTTCCATACTACATACCTTGTCCTGGGTTTGGCAACGGAAACAGTCACATTCAAAGCAGTACTGGTCCCTCAGCTGCTTCCGGCGCTCCTCACTGGTCATCAGCATATCCAGGTAGCAGATGGTGAGCTGTGCAGGCCAGAGAGAGGGAAGCGCTGAAACATCTGCTGTGCTCATTTCTTTAACAAATGGTTATTATTATTGCTAATTATTGGAGTAAAACTTGTTTTTATTATAAACCAAAAATATAAGAGAGAAGGTACTGCTTATAGTTTCTCTACCCAAATGATCACACGTAAATTTTTAATCTATTTCCTTTCAGTCTTTGCTATGTGGTAAATATATATGTATCATATATTTAAAGAACGGGTCTTATGATCTCTACCCACTTTTGTATCTTAGTTTTTTTCACTACAGGAAAATATCAAAAACTGTTGTATGTTTACTAAGGTTTGCTAATAAATTCTATAACCATTAGCAATCAGAGAAGCCAAATTAATCCTGGCAACCGAAAGGGTGGCAGATGATACAGCCAGATTGCTCTTAAATTCTAACCAATTCTATAGCTGCCTCATGGAATTTAAGGTCATCCAAATTTGGTATCTTTGAAATGAGAAAACAGTTCTCTTATTTGTATCTAGGTTTGGAAAAAAAAGGGGGGGTAGAATAATTTCCAAATAGGGGAGAGTTTAACTTGAGAGTACCACCACTGATGGAAGCATTCAAACTGACTGCCTTACACCCTTTCAGAGTAATATCCCCTGCCTCGGATGGTGAAGGGTTATAAATGAGAGGATATATTTAAAGGACTCCTCGGACACTCTCTAACACTGAGTCCCATTAAGTCACGGGTCTTTAGGCAACATCATAATGCTTGAGCATTTTGCACTTGATTAGATCTCTTATGAAAGTCTAATTCAAAATCCAGAAAACAGAATGCTTGATCTTCCCCTCAACCTGTTCCATCTCGGCTAGAGCATTCTCACTCTCAGTTGACAGTAACTCATCTTTTGACTTATCCAAGTTGAAGCCTCAGAGTCATCCTTGACTTCACTCTTTCCTTTACACTTGCCATCCAATCCACCAGGAAATTCTGCGGGCTCCACCTTAAAAACTACCCAGAATCAACCACTTTTTACCTTTTCCAGTGCCACCATCCTGGTCTGAGCCATCATTACCTCTCACCTGTAAAATGTAATAGTCTCACAACTGGTCTCTCTGATTCTTTCTCCAGGCCCCCTGCACTCCACCCTCTAGCCAGAGTGATTCACATAAAATATGTCAGATGACATGTTCTGTTTGAAACATCACAACAGCTCCCCACTTTGCCTGAGTGAAGGCCAGGTCCTTCTAACTCCCCAAGTGCAATTCAAAGTATGGTCCCCGCATTGGTGCCAGTGCGCACTGTGGGTTACCAGTCCATGACGACATGAGTCAAGAAACAAAGTCAATATTTAGAAATGTTTTTTACTAATTTGGTAAGGGTAATTTTATGTGACTCTAATAATAAAACATTGGGCTTTAAAAAAAAAAAAAAAGACAGGGTCTCACTGTGCCACCAAGGCTGGTGTGCAGTGGCATGATCACAACTCACTGCAGCCTCAACCTCCCAGGTTTGGGTGATCCTCCCACCCCTCAGCTTCCCAGGTAGCTGGGGCTACAGGCATGTACCACCACACTGGCTAATTTTCTGTATTTCTTGTAGAGATGGAGTTTCGCCATGCTACCCAGGCTGGTCTTGAACTCCTGGGCTCAAGCAATCCTTCCTCCTTGACCTCCCATGGAATTACAGGCGTAAGCCACTGCACCCAGCCCTTCATTTTTCTAATAATTTATTTTCACTAGATTTTATAAAAATACTGGTCTGCAATAGATTATGAAGGAAAAGAAAAACTGGTCCTTCGTCATAGGTAGAGAAGCAATGGCTTCACATAATCCCACCTGTTCCCTCTCATTTCCCAGTTTCCCTCATTGCTGCTGCTCCACCAGGCTGGCCTCCCGTCTGGCTCCACACACACTCCTACCTCAAGGCCTGTGCACTGGCTGTTCCCTCTGCCCTTCTGCCCCGTTTACTATGACAACCTCCCTCATCGCCTTTGAGTTTCAGTCAAATCCCACTTTCTCGTTCAGGTCTAACCTCAATGCCCTATTAAGAGTAACAACCCAATTCCCTTACCTGCTCTAGTTTTTCTTTTCCTGTATCATATATCAGCTTGTACCAGACTGTAGAAATTACTTCTTTGCTTTTAAAAGTAGAAAGTAATCATGGCGGTATGTGTGGTGGGGGGAGAAGTGAAGACTTTGGCAGAGCAAGAAGGCAGGATTATCCACTGAAGGGATGCAAAAAACTCCCTAGAGCAGAAAACTCCATGTGGTTTTTGTTATACTTAAAAGAAAGCATCTCATGTCTACAAAGCATGATCTTACTTGTTTGAAATCATAGTAGGGCAAAGGCAGCCACCCTCTCTGGCAGAAAACAAAGCTTTGGGAAGGACTCTCTCAAGCTGTAGGGGTGATGGTGGATGGCTGGGCTGGCCAGCCAGATCTGTCAAATCCACCATGGCCGTCACCATCACCAACGGGACAGGAGTCACAGCCTGATCTGGCTGGCTGGCTCTCCATAGATTCTTCACATTAGGCAACCATAACATGCTGCTCCACACACAGAAACAAGAATATCTGCCCTTAAGAGATACAGACAATGACGTTACTGAGTATCTACTGTTTGTGGCGAGGCAGCATAGCACAGTAAAAACTGGCAAAGGTCTTGGGTTCAGGTAACACTGAAGACTGCACCCAGATCTCTTGATAAGTCTGATGCTCTTTTTACTTTTACATGGCTGCTTCTCATACTTGGCAGGGAGAGAGGGCTGTAGAAGAAGCTGGCGTCCCTTAAGGAGTGTCCGTAGCACCGTCAAACCTAAAATACTCACACCTGTGTTAGAGAATGTTCTGTGGCAACTGAGATCCTTCAGCTGAGACAACAGCCACTTTTTGATTTCCTCCATGTTTCTCTTGCTTCATGATCTGAAGCCAGGGTTGCCTCTGAGGCACAAAGGGTCACCTATACCAGGCAAGTTCCTCTTGTTTCTAATGAATGCTATGTTCCAAATTCCAAATAACCTATTTCCAAGCTCACTTTTTGAAACAGCCTATGAGTAAGTCTGGGACAGTAGATAGATTCATCTTATACTATCAGGCTCTGTGGGTCCCAGTTTCCTTACAGGAGGTGAGGTAGCAAATGAGCGCATCCCTATGTCCCCTCTTGGGTTAACTCTAGGACACTAATTCTGAATCCAGCCCAATGGCTCTTAGTCATCAACTCCCATTATCAGAGCAGGTAAATGGACAGTAGTTATTGGGAGATTACAGTGTGCCCAGTGTGAAGCCACTAACTCCAGGGCCTGTCATGCCAGAAAAAAATGTGCTTGACTAACCCAAGACTTTATTACAAGGGCCAAAACTCATGAGTGATCTTGTCAGGCAGTGAATGGCCAACAGGAGACTAGTTATTTCATTTAACCCCAATAAATGGGCTCCTAAAGCCTCCCTCGGCATACTGTAACTGCCTGGAACCATTACCTGGACTACGCAATGGCTTTCTAACTGGCTTCCCCGCTGCCTGCAGTGTACCTTTCATCTTCTAAACTGCTTTGAGAGAGATCTTCCTAAAACTCACATGTGATCACGTCATTTCTCTACATAAAAACTTGCGATGGTTTCTCACTGCCCTTGAATAAAGGCACACAAGGATTTCCCTCAGCTGTTTTTCTGTCTGCCTTTCTAGCCTCCATGTCTCTCCCTGAACCCCAGCCTGTCACAGTTATGTACATTGCTAGACCTCTGAAACAATGAACACCATGCCAACATGTGTCTGGGCATCACTGGCTAAGCGAGCCTCTCCTCCACACTCAGCCTCCTGAGAGCCTCTCATCCTCCAAGCTTGGCTCAAATACACCTCTTCCTATGGCGACTGCCCCATTACCTCAGAGAAAGCCACCCATTTTTGTGCTTCTTTTATGCCAATGAAGTCTGCAGAATATCTGGTTATCAATTGTGAAGTGCTTAATGGCAAAAATATTTTATTCATATTTTTGGGAAAAAACAGCCAGATTACTAACTGGTAATGACAGCTAAAATCATGTTATTAGCCAAAGATAAAAACCTTTATTAAAGACTCATTGACTCACTAGTTGTAATGGAATATCTGCTCAGTAAATGTAAGGCTCATTTAGTGGGAATGTATATGTGAAACTTGGCCATTGATCAGTAGACACCTTAATGGCACAGAACAAAATTGCATTAAAATATTAATGCCATTGACCACTGCTCTGCCATTTTAGTGCAGCTCTTATAGAAAATGCAGTAAATCATTTCTGACATTAGAGTAATATAATGAAGGAGATTTTCTAGATCTTGAATACATAGCTTACATTAAAATCTCAAGACAAAATGAACTCCTTTTCCATGAAACCATCTTTTCATTGTCTACAACTGAGTGGATAAGATGAGCAAGTTAAGGCCGGCCACGGTGGCTCACGCCTGTAATCCCAGCACTTTGGGAGGCCAAGGCGGTAGGATCACGAGGTCAGGAGATTGAGACCATCCTGGCTAACACGGTGAAACCCCGTCTCTACTAAAAATACAAAAAATTAGCCAGGCGTGGTGGCGGGCGCCTGTAGTCCCAGCTACTCGGGAGGCAGAGGCAGGAGGATGGCGTGAACTCGGGAGGCGGAGCTTGCAGTGAGACGAGATCATGCCACTGCACTCCAGCCTGGGCGACAGAGCGAGACTCCGTCTCAAAAAAAAAAAAAAAAAAAAAAAAAAGATGACCAAGTTAAAATTAGACCTTGTTTCATTTCTAGAATTCCGTGATCACAGTTATGAATGTTTCTGTTAATACTGGCTCTGAACTGGAAAAAAGCCTGAAAAATGTCACTTCTTTTTAAAGTCAAACCTGAGTATCTTTGTGTCTCTTGTTTCACAAGTTGTGTCCTTGTTTCACAAATCCTGCTAATTTTATCTTCTTAATATTATAGTCTTCAGGTACCCTATCACAAGCCACCACCTGAGCTCCCCGACTTCAGGCTACCACTGTTATCTCTTCCCTGGATTATTACATCACCCCGACGCTCATTCTCCCAACCTTGCCTACACATAGAAAAGTGGTCATACAAAAATAAGCAATGAGCAAAGGACATCCTGTTCAATAAACGGTGCTAGGACGGCTGGCTAGCCATATGCAGAAGACACCTACCTTGTACCATATATAAAAATTAATACAAAGATTAAAAATTTAAATGTAAGACCACAGACTTTATGCACCCTAGAAGAAAACCTAAGAAACACCATTCTGGACGTCAGCTTTCGGAAAGAACATATGACTAAGTCTTCAACAGCAATTGCAACAAAAACAAAAATTGACAAGTGGGACCTAAACTAAAGAGTTTCTGCACAGCAAGAGAAACTATCAACAAAGTAAACAAACGACCTACAGAATAGGAGAAAATATTCACAAACTATGCATCTGACAAAGGTCTAATACCCAGAATCTATAAGGAACTTAAGCAATTCAATAAGCAAATAACCCAAGTAAAAAGTGGGCCAAAGACATGAGCAGACACATTTGAAAAGAAGACATACCAGCAGCCAACAAACATGGTTTTAAATGCTCCACATCACTAATCAGAGAAATGCAAATCAAAACCACAACGAGAAACCATCTTACACCAGTCAGAATGGCTATTACTAAAAAGTCCAAAAATAACAAATGTTGGTGAAGCTGTGGAGAAAAGGGAACACTTATACACTATTGGTGGGAATGTAAATTGGTTAACCCACTGTTGAAAGCAGTTTGGAGAGGAGCTCAGAACTACCATTTGAGCCAACAATCCCATTACTGGGTATATACCCAAAGAAAATAAGTCATTCTACCAAAAACACACATGCACTCACGTGTTCATCACAGTACTATTCACAATAGCAAAGAAATAGAATCAACCTAAGTGCCCATCAACAGTGAGCTAAAAAATGTGGTGTATATATATATATATATATATACACATACCATGGAATAGTATGCAGCCATAAAAAAGAATGACATCATGTCCTTTGTGGCAACATGAATGCAGCTAGTGGCCATTCTCCTAAGCAAATCAATGCAGAAACAGAAAACCAAACCCAGCAATTACAGATTTCTCATAAATTGTGGAAACAAATATTTAGAGAATCTATCGAACCAAACACCCAATGTTCTCACTTATAAGTGGGAACTAAACACTGGGTACTCATGGACATAAAGATGGCAATGACAGACACTGGCACTACTAGAGAGGGAGGTAGGGCAAGGGGTGAAAAACTGTTGGGTACCATGTTCACTACCAGGGTGATGGGATTCATCACACCCCAAAGCTCACTATCATGCAATATACCCATGCAACACAGCTGCACATGTGCCCCCTGAATCTAAAATAAAAGTTGAAATTATTTTTTTAAAAATCACAATTAGGTTACTAAATATTCTTTTAGCTTAATTCAAAAGGTAAATGAAATTACATTTCTTTTACACTTATCCATTCTTAAGAATGGGGCAGGGACTTTTATAATGAATTTAACTGTGAAATCACAATTTAGTTATTTATTGAATATAATTTAATAAAACCCCGTTAAAAGTAATTTTATCATCTTAAGCCAAAAACAAAAATCAAACTTGTATGTATTTGTATTCAACAGCCTAAACCTGAAAGCACCGGCTCATTTCAGACTTAAAGGTACCTTCATTTAAAGTGAAACTGGTCATAACACTTTCAGCTTCAATTTCAGAGGAGCATGTATTAGAACAAAGACTGCCTATAGAAAATGTTAATTTAAGAATGGAAAATAATCTGTGTAGATGTCATCATGGACCAACACTTCTATACACAAACCAAATGTTATTCAACAGTTGTAGCAATCTTTCTTGCCGAGTCCAAACATCAGCCAGACCACCTCCACCAAAGACCAATTATTCTGCTTTGATACGTAAGATGAGATTTACTATAGTTTTGATAGATTCTCTAAATATGTTTCCACAATTTATGAGAAATCTCTAATGTCATATTTTTTTTTTGGACACTCACCATTTGAGCTCTACTTTTCCCTTCAGGAAACTCTAATCACAAATGGAAGAAGAAAATCACTATGTAGTAAGCATCATGTGCTGGGCACTGTCCTAGGTAAATAATTTGTTACTTCAATCCTGAGAATGAAGCTTTATTACTAACCCCCTCCACACTGCGTAGTAGTAAGTGTAGCACTGAACAAATCATTTCCCAGTTTAAACCTTACATTTTCTTCCATAAAATAAAAAAAATGAATATGTAACATTATCTGAGTTTTCTAAGATTCCAAAGATGGTACAGACTACTTAGGTCTTACTCAATTTTGTAGTCCTTGGGTTTTGTTTTTTGTTTTTACCTATTAGGCTTCATCTATTGCTTCCTAAATTGAATCACCCTATAAATATTCCCTATCATCATAGCCATGGTCGTATATACAAAAAGTGAATGAAAGGCAAAGGAAACATCACGTTTCAATCATATGGTTCAACGAGTTGAGAAAAACTCACACTACAGCAACAGTGACTGAGGTAAAATTGAATGTACACTGAGTAAAATGTTTCGTTTGTGATATCCCAAATCTAACTCAGGGGTTAGAATTGGGTGGGGTTTTAAAAATTGTTTTCTTCAAGTGTTTTATGTATAGTACATACAATAAAAAACAGTAACATTTGTAAACATGCAGGAAAAAAAAAACAAGAAAATCTGGCCACGCAGTTCCTTTGCTGAAACCCTTCAATCATGTCCCGCTGCTCGTCCTTCTCCCTTACACAAATATTTACTGGGCGCCTCCTATAGACCAGCCAATGTTATGAAACCTTCAGCTAAACCAAGGTCTGTGATAAGGCTCCCATGGGGTTTGTCAGTCTGATCCCTACATCTTCCCTCAAATTCGGGTCACATCTAAATTCTTTCGTCGTCTATTGATGAGAACTGCTTCCTACTCCTTGAACTCACCATTCTGTCCCTGGCCTCTGTGTCTATGTCTACAATGCCTTTTCCAGCCTCATCCAACTCTAACTCCATGGATCCTTTCAGAGTCTAGGAGTCAGTCCTCTGGAAGCATTCCTTAACCACTCTCCACTCCCTCCCCTTACTAATCACTCGAGTGCTCCTGCTCTGAGCTGCTGTAAGCCTGTGCCCATTTACACCACTGTGCATCTTAATTCTATTATTGTTTTCTGTTCTCTGTCAGTTTCCTCAACTATACCTTGAACTCTTGAAGTCAGGGCTGGGTCTTAATAATCTTTGTATTAGAGAAGGTTTCTAAAACTGCTACCAACTCCTGACATCCAGTAAACATGCAGTGAATTCGTTTAATGGTTTAGCAAATAAGATGACTAACAGAAGAAACAGACTGTCTTAATCCCAAAAGACATCAGATTAAGACTGACATTAGGGATACTAATGCATTCAACTTGTGTCAATCACATTTCTCCCAGTTGATATGGCGCCAGAGAATGCTGGCAGCCAATGGCATTATTTGTAACAGCTACAAGTTATTTTAACCAGGAACTACCATAAGACTGCTTTGGCCTACCCAGCTTTCCTCCCTGATCCATGTTTTATAAAACTATCAGAACAAATGAATCTCATATTTAAGATAATTTTGAAAAGGTAGCCATCAGCAATCCAGTCAAGTGAGCCATGACTTAAATGATATTACACATCTCTCTCTGTAGGAGGCGGCTGAATGAGGAGACAAAAATCCAAAGTCAAATAAAAAAAAAAGACCCAATAACTCAGCATTACAATGGAGAGCCTTAAATAGCAAAGTATTATAAATGTTGCTGGTTTGCAAGGAAACTGTCCAAAGAGGGTCCAAAGGATGGATTTATATAGAGAGAAACATGGGGTGAGAAATTTCCATGGCAACTTCTGTTATCACAGACCTTGTGCAATTTTCCAGCTCTCCTTGTGTGAGGTTTGAAATGCTCCCATCTTAAACTGGCAGTAGACTGGCTTTCATATTCCCTTCCTTTCAGGAGCCATGGGACACCACTGAGGACTGCCAGTCATTTGTAAATGTCTGAGACTCTATTCCAGCTTTTTTTTTTTTTTTTTTTTTTTCTGAGATGGAGTTTCACTCTGTCGCCCAGGCTGGAGTGCAATGGTGCGATCTTGGCTCACCGCAACCTGCGCCTCCTGGGTTTAAGCGATTCTCCTGCCTCAGCCTCCTCAGTAGCTGGGATTACAGGTGTGCGCCACCACACCTGGCTAATTTTTTGTATTTTTAGTAGAGACGGGGTTTCACCATGTCGGCCAGGCTGGATGCAAACTCCTGACCTCAAGTGATCCACCTCCCTTAGCCTCCCAAAGTGCTGAGATTACAGGCATGAGCCACGGTGCCCAGCCCTATTCCAGCTCTTATTTTATCTTTAAGAAGTCTCATTAATTTACTCAACAAATGTTGATTGAGGAACTTCTGCCTCAGTTGCTGTTGAGTCTTCCATTGTGAATCCCATATTCTGACACTCAGATCCCAAATAGCTCATATTAAAACTGTGGGTGCCCTAATGAGCACTAAAGCCAAATGCAAAGTTCATGATAGGAAATTACCAAAATGTCTAAAATTTTTTCCCAAGGAATTTTAACTTTCAAAAAATTAATACATAATATTTATACATATTTATGGGGTCCAGGTACTATTTTGCTACCTGCATACGATGTGTAATGATCAAGTGATGGTATTTAGGTTATCCACGACCTCATGTATTTACCATTTTTGTATGTTGGGAACACAAAATGTCTAGATTTATTCCTTAATTTAAAGCTAATATTTGTACAATAAATAGGAATTACCCTGCTTAATCAATGCCTCAAACTGTCTTTTCTCATGGCTCTCCCTCTCCCCTACCTCTGCTCCAAGGGGTCAGTTTGAAAGGCATAGGATATATTTTAGTTGTTGGGGGATGGCTACAGGCATTAGTTAAGCACACGCCAAGGACACAAGTCTTCTCCAATGATGCAACAATCCCACACGATGAAGAACTGTCCCATTCAAAATGGCAATAGTGTCCCCACAAGAAATACTGCCGGTCATTAGAGTAAGCTCAATATAATAGAGAGTCGATTCAACAAAAAGTTATCAAATGCCTCCTGGATGCAAAGCTAAGTGCTAAGAGATACAGAAATAAGACACGATTGTCTGTCCTCATAAAGCTCTAAATAGAGAGGTCTCCAAAACAGCCATAATATGTGCCAAAAATGTATTAATAACCACTATAAGCGAGAACTCAAAGGAAAAGAACTTCTTCTAATATGGGAAATCAGGGAAAGAGTTACACAAGAGATGTGATTGAAAGGGTATCTTAGTCCATTTTCTGCTGTTTTAACAGAATACCACAGACTGGGTAATTTATAAATAAATTTCTCACAGTTCTGGAGTCTGGGAAGCATGATGCCAAAAGCATGGCACCGGCATCTGGGGAGGGCCTTCTTGCTGCCTGATAACATGGCAGAGGGCGTCACATGAGGTGGCAGCAGGAGTGTCCTCTTCTTATAAAGCCACCAATCTCATCATGGGGTTCCCACCCTGATAACCTTATCTAATCTGGATTACTTCCCAAAGACTCCACCTCCACAAAGCATCAGCAAGAATTTGGGGATAAAGTTTTCAACAGATGGAATCTGGGGGACATGTTTAAATCATAACAAACAGCCTCGAAGGGCATATAACATTAAGACAAAGAGACACAGTGGACAGAAACGATGATGAATCAGGGGAAACACTGTTCAGCAAGACCTACAAAATGGAATGGAGAAATGTTTATTCTCTTAAACTGGTATATATGAAGGACTTGTGGGGAGAACCTTCTTTTTGTTGAGAAGATGCCTTGCTAAGTACCACAGGGAAAAATATCTGAGTCTGAAGGGCTTTACACTGAGTGGAAATGTCTCGTATTTGGCAAGAGGGAGGATTTGCTTGTTGCTCCAGAGATGGAAAGAGAAAGATGTGAAAAAGTGAAAGCAGCACCTAAAGACAAGGTGTCTTATTCAACTAAATGAAAAGCAACCACGGGAGAATGACTGGCAGCCGAGCCTAGGAAAATAGAAGAAACTTTCTTTGTTGTTTCTGAAAATTCCAACCAACTCTAATTGCTTTTGTCAAGTTACTTGGTTTGTTTTTTAATTTGCAAAAACATCGTCATCATCGACAACAGCAGCAGCCGCTCTTCAGCCCCCAAATGAATATTGCTGAAAATAGATAGCGGTTTCATCTCTTACCTGCCTTGAAGTCCTTTGCGGCCCCAGAAAAAAAAGAGAAAAAACTACATTGTCCATCTCACTGACATCTATCCCAGTATATTTCATACACTGGTCCTAAAATCTGGAAATTTAGCGAGTAGTTGTATAAGAAGTGGCTCCTTCCACTGAAAATCAGTTTGGGGAGAATCTTGTCAAAGCCAAATCCCTGTCTACATAAAATATGGTACCTCTGAGTTGAGGTTTTATTGGCTGAGTGCTGCATAAATGCAATAAAAGCTTTCAGTACTGTTTTCCTTGCAATAAATATCCACTTTAGCAAATTGGAAAGGAGAAGGAAACGGGGTTCTGGAAAGTAGAAATATCTGTAACTCAGAACTCAGCATGGGTAGTCACTGTGCAAACCAGTGCAAGCTTAGGTTCAGAGCCCTGGAGCAGCCCGTTTGCAGCTGTCTTGTAAGAAGGTTCTGCACCAAAAGAGGCTGGCTGGACAGTCTGTCAAACTGGAGGGGTCAAGGCCAGTTCACTGCTGGAGGTCATCCTCCCTGTCCTCTATTCCCTTTGCATCTTTGCTGAAATGATCACCCAGAGATGCTGATGGGTTTGTCAAGTCCCAATGTCAGCCTGAGACAGTATAAGCTGTTTGCTTTACTAGCACAAAGTTAACATGCATCATTACCTTCAATGTAGCCAGTGGCCTTCCGAGTGAAGAAGTCTTGGGGATCCCACTCACAAGCTGGGATGCCCCCCCCTGCCCACGGAAGGATATGAGAGGCTGCTCAGCTGTTGCCACTGAGGAGATTTCATGAATTCCCTGTGTGTGCATAAAACACACACCCTCTGTCATACACAAACTCCTCTCTCTCTCACACACAGGACAGGAACTGTCATCATCCAGAAATATGGTGACCTCTCCCCTAAAAAATTAGCCCATTTGTAATTTGGGAGAAGAAAGGATAGGTTGCTGGGGAGAGGTGACTGAACTACAAATACTCTCACTGGCAGAAGGACAATGAAAAGTTGTCCCCTCAGGCACAATCAGTTTTAGGGACGGGCCGAGCTGAGAGGGTCTTTGATAGGAAAGAAGGCCAGGCTGGGAAGCATGAGTTTCCTTACCTCCTCTCCCACCTCGATGTCTCGGACTGCTCGCAGTAAGAGGTGGGGCCCATTGAACACAATCGAACAGTTGGGGTCACAGCTGTGATTGAGCAAAGAGATACTGGAAAAAAAAAGGGGGGAAGACTGTCACAGCTCAGCAGGTAGAGTCAACTAAATTTAACAAATGCAGTGGGTAAAATACACCTTCCTTTGGGGGGCAGCAGCAGGTAGGGTTGACAGGATGCCAGGGGTTCAGTACTCGGGGATGCATTCACAGAAATGTCACTAGCACACCTCCCACGAAGTGCAATTCTCCTCAAGATGCAGGCTAACTAGGGAATTCCGTCATTTAATAATAAAAAAATTTCCTGAGTCCTTTTTGGGGATTGGGGCATAGTTGACTGATTAGATAACAGTCAATAAGGCAACCCAACACGAAGGTCAGAAAGAAACTGACTCAGAAAGAAATACTTAGACAGCTGGGTGTGGTGGCTCACGCCTGTAATCCTAGGACTTTAGGAAGCCGAGGTGGGTGGATCATTTGAGGCCAGCAGTTTGAGACCAGCCTGATCAGCATGGTGAAACCCTGTCCCTACTAAAAATACAAAAAAATTAGCTGGGTGTGGTGGCACATGCCTGTAGTCCTAGCTACTCAGGAGGTGGAGGCAGGAGAATCGCTTGAACCCAGGAGGCGGAGGTTGCAGTGAGCCGAGATCGCACCACTGCACTCCAGCCTGGGTGACAGAGTGAGACTCCATCTCAAAAAAAAAAAATACTCAGACATAATGGGATGCAGCAGCCAAGATACCACTGACCTCTCCCATAGGATCTCATTTGTTGAGCTCCTTTGGAGAAATGGCCGCCTTTGCTAGAACATCCACACTGAAAAATAATTAGGACTATTTGCTCTTAAATAGAGAGCTGACGTTATTTTGCCACCTACATCCTGATGCATCCTGGGCCATGGTCCAGTCATTTTATTACCTTGGAGGGACATTTCTTACCATCTGGGAAACAAAATGGATTTAAGCTGCTATCAGGAATTGGTAATAATTAGAATGAGCACTTACTATGTAGAAACACTTTCTTGCACTTGAGCATGTTCATCACATTTAATCCTCACAACAATCTTATGAGGATCATTTACAGGTAAAGAGACTGATGCACAGAAATTAAATGACTTGCTCAAGGACATACAGCTAGTAAGTGGTGATGGAATTTGGACCAGGTGGCCTGAACGCAGAGCCCATGCTTTGAATCATCCTATGTTACTGCCTTTTGAGAACCACCTACCAGTAGACCTGACCTACAGTTAATGACAATTGTGAGAAATAAGAAAAAAGGCTGAATTCTTAGATTCACAATTATTAGAAAGTCTAAATTTGTATTTGGACTCTTATGGCATAAAAACAAAATGAAACTGGGTGTGCCTATAGTGCTTGTGGAGAGACGGTTTCATAGCTCAGTGGTAAGAGTCAGCTCAGCAATAGCTGGAGAGAGCATTCAGGGGCCAAAGCCTGAGAGTTTTCTTGCCTCCTTGAGTGAAAGGGCTCAGAGTGTGCCAACTCGAAAGACAACATGAACCCAACTGATACGTACGGCAAGTCCGGTGAAATCAGCATGTGCTGCAGCTCAGGAAACTGGGGAATAACCAAAAATCAGCCCGATGGTTAATTAGCACCCACCGTCCTCAACTTCTTCACCCAAAGTCCCCCTGAGAACAAGAGTTTAGTTCTGAGATCTGCCCCTTTGTTAATATCACAGCATATAATGTGGGGTTATAAAACTGTTTTCTTTCAACTTAACATTTTCCATTTTTTTGTAATTTATTGCTAAGTTTTAAGCTTGGCTCTTGAACAAGCTGCAGCAACTGCCTTTCTAACTACCTCCAAAGGGCTGGGGATTTGGGTGGGAATGAAAGTGTGTCTTCCAGTACATGAAGTACCATACACCATACCTGGGATATAGGCCAACACCAACTTCCTGCATCTCCGCATTACAGATGGTGAAAGAGTTGCAGATCACCTGTAAACACAAGGGGAACCATCAGTATTACTAGAGTCACTTAAGAAACTTCATAGCCAAGAGAATAAAAAACGTTCAAACCCAAATGTAGGAGCATCTTAGTAGTTGCTTAAGAAAGAGCCAAGCCAATCATGGATGCTCTTTGACTTACAACAGAATTTATCTGGGATATACTCCCCCTAAAAACATCAGGTGGTTAAGTGCAGAAATACCAACCTCCTGGGAGAAAAAAAAAAAAAACAGACGGAAACCAGCAGAGGAACCATTAATTTCAGTCTCATTATCCACTACCCCAAAGTTACAGTTACATGAACTGTTCAAAATCCAGAATATGAATAAGCTATTTATTGAAAACTAGACTCCTGCTGTATCACGATTTTTTCAAACTGCATGCAGTTTCCAAATGCCACTGTGTATCTGTTCAGTGATAGCAACTTGTCTCTTACTCCTACAGAAAGCGAAGTATCCCGTGACTGAGCCTGTCGTCTGATGCGTGTTGGTGAAGACCACAGGGAGCACTGGAGGTCATTTAGTCAAGCCATGGTATTTACCAGGAGTCCATCACTGGGTACATGACACAGTCCTGTCTTATGCAGGGACGGAGCAGAAGCAGTAAAAAACACAATCGACTGTGCTCAAGGAACTTAAAAACCTCGTTTGTGAAATAAGGTTGATGTATGAGGTCACACAGAACCATGGAAAGAGCACTGGACCAGAATCAGGAAATCTAGATTCTGGCTAAAATCACTGCTTCAGACAGGTGCGAGGAAAAGAGCAGTGAAGAAAAACAAAACAAAAGTTCCTGCCTCCGTGGAGCTCAAGTTCTAGTTGAATACACAGATTTTTTAAAAAACCCAATGATAGAAAACTGTCACATGTAGATAAATGCCAAGGAGAGAAACAAGGTCCTTACAGAGAAAAAAAGTTGTCAAGAAAGCTCTTTAGGATGAGTTGACATTTAAGCAATGACCTGAAGGGACTGCTGAAATGAACGTGTGTATTTATAGGCGATAAAGGCTCATATCAGGAGAAAGAGCAAGTGCGAAGGCCCTACGCTAGGAATGCCCGTGGTAACAGAGGAACAGCAAAGAGGCTAGTGTGACCAAAGCGGAGCAAGAAAGTAGGGGGCAAAACACGAGCTCAAAGACGGAGTGGGATCACTTACGGCCCTACTGCCATATTTGGGTTTTGCTCTGAAGAAGATAGAAAGCCACTGGATTTTGAGCCAAGGCATGAAGGAGTCTGACTTCTGCTTTAAAAGGATCATTCTGGCTGTTGTGTAGAGAATGGGCTATAAAAAGGTGAATGGAAGTGGAGAAAATGGTTAGGAAGTCACTGCTATAGCCCAGGTGATAGACAATGGTGACTCGGATGTCGGTAGCAGGAGAACTGGGTAGCACAGCCAACAGGCCTTACTTACTGCGGGACGGCTTGTGGGGAATGAAAGGAGTCAGGATAATGCTCGAGTTTTTGGCCGAAGCAAGTGGAAGATCATAGCTACCATTTATTAAGATGAGGAAGAATTTAACAGGAACAAATTTGGTTACAGGGAGTTGAGAGCAAGTCCAACAGTTCTGTTTTGGTTAAGTTAAATTTGAAATCCAAGCCAAGACTAAGAATGAACAATTGGAGTTCACAAGAGGAGTTGCGCCTAGAGATATAAATTTAGGATGAAACATGACAAAGGCCATCAAAAAACAAAAAAAGGAGAAGAGGCTAAACATTTGAGATGAACCAGAGACTACAAATGGATGCTGACTTGTTATAAAGTTTCTGTAAAGGAAAAAGTGATGACGAATTTCTCAAATCAGGTTTACATGAAAGAACACGAAGTATGAAAACACACTGAGTCCTCTGAGACTCTTCCACTGCTCCAAACAGCTCTTACATGAAATCTAGTGCACTCTAGCATGATTTGGCTTTTTTCCCTCTAAATATATAAAATTGCAGTTTCAAATCAGGAGCAAAATTATACATATATATTTGTAAACAAATGCTAAATTGCTTTAAGGACAACTATTTTGCATTAAGCAGCAACAGTACATTGTCTATATATACTTATGTATAAATTGGATGGTAAAAATATAAGACAGAAAGTCCTACGTTTAATTTTTGAAATTTTAAACATTTTTAAATGTGTATAATTTGGGAAGGGATACAAGTTTTAACAAATATTTTAAAGTATAATGAGAACTTTAGTTGAAATAATCCACCAACAAAAAAACCAGGTCAAACACATCTGATCTGTTAACTTCTGAATCAAACCAGCATGGTTTTTTCCTGGACTATGAAGCAAATTAACGGTTTTTTCAAAATAGGAAAAATCTTTATCAGTTTTTTTCCATCGGTTTATTTCATGGATTCTGATGGAATGTTTAAGAAGGAAAAGCTAACAAGAGGAAATGTCAGCTTGCTTGTCTCTTCCACTGGGAAACTCTTCCTGATTTCCTAAGATGACTTCCCTCTTTAGCAGCATTTATCATACTGGATCATTATTTACCCATTTACTTGCCATCATACACAACTGGATCGTAAAATACTTGGGAGGGCAGACACAGTGTTTCATTCATCACTCTAGTCCTGTACCTGGCTCAAAGCCTGGCAAACAGAAGACACTAATAAATCTATTTCCTTTTCTTAGAGACAAGGTCTCACTCTGTCACCCAGGCTGGAGTGCAGTGGTGCGATCATGGCTCACTGCAGCCTCGAACTCCGGAGCTCAAGTAATCCACCCTCAGAGCCTCCGGGGTAACTGGGACTACAGGCTGGCACCACCACCTCTGACTAATTTTTTAAAACTTTTTGCAGAGACAGGAGTCTTGCTATATTGCCCTGGCTGACCTTGAACTCCTGGCCTCAAGTGGTCCTCCCGTCTCGGCTTCCCAAAATGCTGAGATTACAGGAGTGAGCCATAGCTCCTGGATTTCATCTATATTAGTCTGAGTGTTACGTGTTAGTCTTTCTGGGCTAGTAAACAGAAGGTTTAGTTTTTTGCCTACTCTCACTTTTATTTAAAATGCTGGCTCCATCCAGCACTATCTCAATTAACAACCTGACAGGAAATATTTTTGACATACACAACTGATAGCAACAGTGGATATGCAGAAGCTCTCTGGCTTTTTTTTAGTGCAAGAATAGGTAGATAATATGTCCATGTGTGCTCAATAATTTGAAAGGAATTGCTCTTTATATCAAGAATTAAAAGAATGGAAATAAAGCCCAGAAATAAAAGTTTAAACATTTTTCAAAGTACTGTCTTTGTGAAAACAGTTTTCTTAGGGAATTGCACAGGTTAAAACAATTAATGAATGCTTACTTCACAAAAAGATAACATTTAGAAAAAAATATTAATGGTACTACTTCAATAAAAAATAAATGCAACTGGGTTAATGAATTCTTTCTAAAAATTAAGCTTGAGTATTACTTTAGAAATTTTTACCATGTCTTAAAACTAAAACACATATTTAAATTGTTTTATTATTGAATGCAAAGTTATATTTACTTTCTGTAATTTTTCCTTTAAACTAATTGAAAGCCTTCATATATAATATTATAGTTTTTCTAGATGACAAAAATCTAGTGAGTTGTCATTGAGCCTCTGTATTTTATAAAAACAACTACAGTGAAACTTAAAATGTTCTGTGAACCAAATTCTTATGTCATTTGGTTCAGAGTCTAGGTCCAGAATCTGACATTTGTGTCCTGAGGTTAGCAATTCCCCGGTAGATTAGACACAAATAGCAAAATCAATACCAACACACAAAGTGAATACCTTACAAAATGAGTGTATTACCATGTATTCAAATTTCATATTTTTCCTGAAATTCTTAGGACTAAAGGCTTTGTATTGTAGCAGCAGTTAAACTGAGATATTTGCAACACAAGAGAAAATCACTACTAAGCCATTATCTTGCAACGGTAAAAATCAGAACAGCCATAAGCAAACTCACAACCAATCAGAGCTGAGTAATTCTACACCATAAGACAAGAACCCAGCCACTTCCCAGCCCCCTCCCCCAATTACTGAATTCTACACAGCCTATTTCAAATAATACTTTCAATTTCCCAATATATATACAAATTTTAAAACACATTTAAAAAGAAGGGGATTCAGTTTCTGAACACAACTATACAGAGGTTTCCTCCAAGACCATCTGCATCTCCTTTAAAACTTTTCTGTCTAAAATGTTCAGTACAGTGTCTGGCACAGAAGACTTTAGGCACATCAAGTTTACTAACTAGAGGGACTAAATATGAGTTTTCAAAACGGAGTTTAATGTACTTAGTTTTATTAAACCCTGGACAGAAAAACTGGAAGGAGGAAGAGTTGGCAGGTACGAAAACCAGAAGCAGAAGCTTTTACACTACATAACTGCCTCTGCCCCCCGGCACCCCGACTCCTAGAACTAATATTTCTCTAACTTTAAAAGCACAATAAGAATTTTAATCAGGGTATATTTTTCTCTACCCACAGAATATGACAGGTTATTAAGTACAGATTTTTTTCCAGAATCTTCTCATAAACCTTAAGAGATTAAAAATTGTATCTCCCAATCCCTCCTTATCTGTATGGCAAATATTTATCCATCCTTCAGGACCCAATTCAGTCCTTGCCTGTCCCATTGCCTCTTTTGGTCACATAGTTAAAGGGTTTGAAATCTCCAAACCAGAACAGCGGGAGGGGACCAGGCTGGCGACGGAGGTCAGCTCAGGAGAGGAGAGGCTATACTTCTTAAATGATGATTCGCAAATCCCAGAATCCACAAAGTGTTACCGGAAGGTTTACGAGAGTACAGGTGATTTCGGCATCTGTTTCAATTTCAATTAAAAAAAAAATCCATAATAGAAACAATGACCAACTACATTTCCCTTTGCCAGGAAGTTGCTGGAGGGTCTCAAGTTTTACCAGGGAGCATGCTGTAAGGTTGCGGGGACAAAGGCCCATGCTCACGACTTAGTCACTAAGCTGCATCTTCACTACACTGCTAGTCTTGCGACAGTTTGACATTATAGTTTTCCATTGTTTCTTAGTCACGTTATTTCATTTGCAAACCTAATGGACCCCTGATTAAAGACAGAAGCAAGTAGGAGATATGACTCCAAAGCACAATGTAGACAAATGGGGTTGCATCAAACTAAAAAGCTTCTGCATAGCACAGGAAATGGTCAAGAAAGAGACAACCCACAGAGTGGGAGAAAGTATTTATAAACCATACAACGGATAAGAGGTTAATACCTAAAATATATAAGAAACTCAAGCAACACAATATCAAGAAAACAAACAACCCAATTTTAAAATGGGCAAAGGATTTGAGTAGACATTTCTCAAAAGAAGACATATAAATGGTCAAAAGATTCATGAGAAAATGCTCAATATCACCAAATGCTCAATCATTAGGAAAATACAAAATAAAATCACAATGAGGTATCACCTCATGCCTGTTTCATCAAAAAGATGAAAGATAAACCTTGGTGAGGATGTGGAGACAAGGGAATTCCTGCACACTGGTGGAGTCTACATTAGTCCAGCCATTATGAAAAACTGTACAGAAGTTACTCGAAAACCTCAAAATAGAACTGCCATATAATCAAGCAATCCCATTTCTGTACTCAACTAACTAAAATAAGAGATATCCGTGCTCCCACTCTCACGTGCACTGCAGCATTTTTCACATTAGCTACGATATGGAATTGACCTAAGTGTCCATCAACAAATGGATCAAGAAAATGTAGTATAGATACACAAATGGAGTAATATTCAGCCCTTAAAAAGAAGGAAATTCTGTCATTTGCAAGAATATGGATGAACCTGGAGGACAGTATGTTAAGTGAACTAAGCCAGGTACAAAAAGACAAATAATCCATGATCTCACTTATATGTGGAATATTAAAAAGTCAAACTCATAGTAATAGAGTATAATGGTGGTTACCAGAGGCATGGGCTGGGGAGAGAAATGGGGAGATGTTGGTCAAAGGGTGCAAAGTTTCACCTTCTTCACAGGAGGAATAAGTTCTTGAGATCACCACAGCATGATGACTACAGTTAATAATAAATTGTATATATATTTCAAAGTTTCCAAGAAAAAATTTCAAATGCCTCACCGTAAAAAATGACATGAGGTAAGGGATATGCTAAATTAGCTTGATTTAATCATTCCACCTTGTATACATTTACCAAAAATTCACATTGTACTCTAAATATATACAATTGTTATTCGTTAATTAAAATTTTAAATAATTTAATAAGACAGAAAGCAAGGATGTTGAAAAACAAGGGAAAATACATAAAATGATAATTCTATAAATTTGTCTCAAGATGCTTTATATCATGACTTACCAGGTTGAAATTCTTATAGAGCATCTCAAGACATCTCTAATATTTGAAAAAATGTTAGGAGGAGAACATACACTGAATACGTAATCTTATTTTTTTTTTTGCAGATGGCGTGAAGACCACGAAAGTCCCCAGTGTGTGATTTGGAATGTGCTTGCACTTTGCTACCTAAAACCTTTCTTGTCTTATAATCGAGAAAAAGAACATAGAAGTCATGAAACATAATCCAGCTGGTTTCTTAAAGAGTTAATTATAAGAATGTGAAGCATCAGGTCATGAAAGCAATATGCAACCTAAGGCCCAAAGCAATAATATTTCATTTAAAAATTTGTGTTGATTAAGGCCAGGCGCAGCGGCTCACTCCTGTAATCCCAGTACTTTGGGAGGCCAAGGCAAGTGGATCGATTGAGCCCAGAAGTTTGAGACCAGCTTGGGCAACATGGCAAAACCTCGCCACTATAAAAAATACAAAAATTAGCTGGGCATGATGCCATGCACCTACCTGTAGGTCCAGCTACTCAGGAGGCTGAGGCTGCAGTGAGCCATGATCGCGCCACTGCACTCCAATGACTGTCCCCGCCACAAAAAAAAATGTTGTGGTAATAATGTTTTTACAAAACTAATTTACAGCAGGTTAAACCATGCGATATCACGTGATAAAGGAGAAAACTAAAAATTTGTCTTTATATGCTATGATTATTAAAGATTTTACAAATTCACTTTGTAATACAAGTCAAGTAAAAAATAAAATAATAATATTATTTAAGAAAACTCTTTATCCCACCACACATGACAATATATTTGGGAATTTGTCTTTCTAGACTGAGATACATCCAACTGTTTTCACAACTGCAGTGGTGTCTGTCCCATTTCAAGCTCTGGCCACAAATAAGTCTGCAGTGCACACTAGACACACAAAATCCTCAACAATCACTTGTCAAGGCTAAAATCAATATCAAGGCCAATATCATAAGGAATGGCAATCATAAAATTGTGCTTTCTATTTTATCTCTCTCCCACAGTCAAACTGCCAAATGTTAGCAAATGAAGCCCCTTTAGATAACATGCTTTCTAAAATCCACAGATTTTCATTTTCTAAAAGCTTTACTCACAACAGAACTTATAAACAACTATCCTTGCTAATAGCAAAATAGTCACATATTTGTCCACTGTTCCTTCCCTGAGGCTCTTACCTGGCATTTCACCTCCTTAAAGCCATCTGATGAAACAAGCACTTACCACAGATGTCTGTCAAATACGTAGAGAAGGTATAAAGCTCTGACACATCATTTTCATTGTTTCATTTTCTTCCCATATCCTGAGGCTCAGAAATTCTTCAATAATTTATTACAAGACATCATTATAGGTTTCCATAGCTCCACGGTCACATCTACCAATTTCATTTAGATGTGCTCCTACCCAAAAGGTTTATCACAATGAACTGAACTTTCTCCCATGTATCGCACTTAAAGATTCTTTTGTTCAGCTTAAATCTTCAAAAACATTCTCTTCTATGATACTCTAGTTTCATTATTCTCTAAGTAAGTGGTGTGGAAATCCACCCCCAGCAGTACCAGGACGCCTCACTGTAATCTTACTCCCAGTACTAAATTCCTAAATCAAGTATGCTAGGTGCTGCATAGCACCTGACTGAAGTTGAATTAGATATGGCAGCGTGTGGCTCAAGTTATCTGTTTTTCCGTCAAATTAATGGAGAAAAGGAAACTACAGAAAAACGTTACACGTGAAAGGTAAGACTGCACACTAATCAACTGCTTAAAGTAATCCCCAAATGAAAGATACAGTGCGTGCTGAGGTTCCTTTCACTATGTAGAAATTAAGGTGAATATTCTCTCCGGGTGAACTTTTGGCAGGCAAGGGTTTGCCATACCGATGATGCCTGACATCTCAGGGAGTGAAACCCAGAAGCAGGTATTTCACATGACAGTAGCTGAAGTGTGCATGACTCGTGTACAAGCTGTGCGGGCCCGCATGAAGGTATTTTGGGGACTAGTGCGTGGCTGTTTCTGGCAGCCAATGACAGGCTAGATGGGGAGCACCTTGGGGGGCCACTCCTTCTTTGGTTGCCCAAGCATGCCTGATCCCTGGATACAGCCCGATAACCTAGTGGGCAGGAGCCAGGGAAGAACAAACACAGATCAGACGAGAGAGAGTCACAACTTTAATTATGCAGTCAAGAGGCATCAAGAAATGAGTCTCTGAGGTCAGACAGCCCCTCTTTTGATCTCTCCAGGTATGCTCCTTTATTTTTGGAAATATAGAAAGAAATAAAAGAGGAAATTTATCATGGCTTCATTCCAACTCCTACACTGTTCCTTTGTACAGAAGTAGCTCATAATTCTTCCCCTTCTTCTTCCAGACACTTTTATAGATGGCCAGATACACAAATCAGACTGGTGGGATTTCAATGCAAGGATATCATTTGATCTTTTGTCTTCTCTTCTGGTACCATTTTTAACTAGTCACCATCATGAATACATAAATAGTGCCATTCCCAGCCTCTTTCCTGACCAGATTCCTGAGTTGGTAAGTAGCTAAAACACCAGCATACTGCCCCTACACCGCTTCAGTGAGTTGCTGCAGCAATTTGCAAGGAAGGTTCCCCTTTCCTGACTCAAGAGTTCATCAGAATGTGAAGAAAAGAGGAGTTCAAGACCACCCTGGCCAACATGGTGAAACCCTGTCTCTACTAAAAATACAAAAATTAGCCGGGCGTGGTGGCCTGAGGCTATATTCCCAGCTACTCGGGAGGGTGAGGCAGAATCACCTGAACCTAGGAAGTGGAGGTTACAGTGAGCCAAGATCACACCACTGCACTCCAGCCTCGGCGACAGAGCGAGACTCCATCTCAATAAAAAAAATTAAAAAATAAAAAAATTTAAAAAAAAAAGAATGTGAAGAAAATAGATAATTTAGAAAAGTAGATTAAACATATTTTCTTTTGTAATGGACATTGCTGAAAATACAGTTTGACAAACTCTTCTTAGCTAGTTAGCAGGACCCTCTTGACTAAGAAAGCATTATAGAAGTATCGGTTTAAAAAGATAGACAGGCCAGGCACCATGGTTCACACCTGTAATCCCAACACTTTGGGAGGCCAAGGCGGGTGGATCACGAGGTCAGGAGATCGAGACCAGCCTGGCCAATATGGTGAAACCCCATCTCTACTAAAATACAAAAAATTAGCTAGGCATGGTGGTGGCAGGTGTCTGTAGTCCAAGCTACTCGGGAGACTGAGGCAGGGGAATCGCTTGAACCCAGGAGGCAGAGGTTGCAGTGAGCCAAGATCGCACCACTCCACTCCAGCCTGGCGACAGAGCAAGACTCCGTCTCAGGAAGAAATAAATAAATAAATAGCCAAACCCTGGCCTAGAGGAGACAGGCTGACTGTTGGGTCCAGATCTGGTCCCCATCAACTTTTCTAGTCTCTTCTCTAGTGTCTGCCTTCTCATGTTTTCCTCTCAGTTTTCCTGTCTTCACACCTTCATGTCTCTGCCAGGTGGAACAGTCCCACTGCTTAGAATGTTCTCCCCTCCTTCCTCTAGCTACTGAAATACCACTGGTCCCTTAAGAACGGTTCGAAAGTCTTTTCCTGTGGGAGGCCTTCATGTCATTGAAAAAGAAGAAGAGAGAGGGACAGCTGCAATCACTGTGGCTCCAGTCGGTGCCGGGGAGACTGGGTGGTTTGGACTGGGAGGAATTCTCCACAGTGCAGCATAGCGGCTATGGCAAATCATGGCCAGACTGTTTCTTTAGGTGGGTCACAGATCCATCCCTCCTCACCTTCCCCTCAGGGAATTTCAGCAACTCCAGCCAGGGGTTTACGGACAGAACTCTGATCTCCCCGGGACACAGCACTGGGGGGAGGGGCAGCTATGGTCTCTATGTTCAGCAGACTTAGTCTTTCCTGCCTGCTAGCTCTGAAGAGTCCATGCAGTCTGGACAAGGGGAACTCCCCCCAGCGCAGTGCACCTGCTCTGCCAAGGGGCAGCCACACTGCTTCTTTAAGCATATCCCTCATCCTGTGCCTCCTGACTGGGTGAGACCTCCCAACTGGGGTCACTAGATACCTCTGACAGGAGCATTCTAGCTGGCATCAGGTCAGTGCCTCTCTGGGAGGAAGCTCCCAGAGGAAGGGGCAGGCAGCCATCTGTGCTATTCTGCAGCCTCCACTGGTGATACCTCCAGGTGCAGGAAGCACCCAGGTGAATACGGTCTGGAATGGACTCAGCAAACCACAGCAGCCCTATGGAAGAGGGTCTTGACTGTTAAAAAAACAAAACAAAACAAAACAAAAAAAAACAGAAAGCACCACTACCACCGACATCATCATCAACAAAAAAGACTCCACAAAAACCCCACCTAAAGGTCAACAGCCTCAAAGGTCAAAGGTAGATAAGCCCACAAAGATGAGAAAGAATCAATGCAAAAATGCTGAAAACTCAAAAAGCCATAGTGCCTCTTCTCCTTCAAATGACTGCAACATCTCTCCAGCAAGGGCACAGAACTAGGCAGAGTCTGAGCTGGATGAAATGACAAAAGTAGGCTTCAGAAGGTGGGTAATAACGAACTTCACTGAGTTAAAGTAGTTTGTTCTAACCCAATGCAAAGAAGCTAAGAACCATGATAAAACATTACAGGAGCTATTAAGCAGAATAACCAGTTGAGAGAGGAACATAAATGACCTGATGGAGCTGAAAAACACAACATGAGAACTTCACAATGCAGCCACATGTAACAACAGCTGAACAGACCAAGTGGAAGAAAGAATTCTGAGCTTGAAGACTGTCTTGCTGAAATAAGACAGGTAGACAAGATTAGAGAAAAAAGAATGAAAAGGAATGAACAAAACCTCCAAGAACTATTGGTTTATATAAAAAGACCAAATCTACGAATGATTGGGGTACCTGAAAGAGCTGGGGAGAACAAAACCGAGTTGGAAAACATAACTCAAGGTATCATCCAGGAGAACTTGCCCAACCTAGCAAGACAGACCAACATTCAAACTCAAAAAATCCAGGGAACCCCAGTAAGATACTCCATGAGAAGATCAACCCCAAGACTCATAATCATCAGATTCTCCATGGTTGAAATGAAAGAAAAAATGTTAAGGGCGGCCAGAGAGAAAGGCCAGGTCACGTACAAAGGGAAGCCCATCAGACTAACAGCAGATCTCTCAGTGGAAACCCTACAAGGTGGAAGAGATTAGGGATCAATATTCAACATTTTTTTCGTTTGTTTGTTTTGAGACAGAGTCTCACTCTGTCACCCAGGCTGGAGAGCAATGGAACAATCTCGGCTCACTACAACCTCTGCCTCCCAGGTACAAGTGATTCTCCTGCCTCAGCCTCCCGAGTAGCTGAGATTACAGGTGCATGCCACCATGCCAAGCTAATTTTTTTGTATTTTTAGTAGAGACAGGTTTTCAACATGTTGGCCAGGCTGGTCTCCAACTCCTGACCTCAAGTGATCTGCCTGCCTCAGCCTCCCAAAGTGCTGGGATTACAGGTATAAGCCACTGCACCCTGCCTCAATATTCTTAAAGAAAATAATTTCCAACCCAGAATTTCATAACTGGCCATACTAGGCTTTATAAGTGAAGGAGAAATAAAATCCTTTTCACACAAGCTAATGGTGAGGAAATGTGTCACCACCAGGCCTACCTTGCAAGAGCTCCTAAAGGAAGCACTAAATAAGGAAAGGAAAAACTGTTACCAGCCACTACAGAAACACACTGAAGTACACAGACCGATGACACTATGAAGCAGCTATATCAACAAGTCTGCAAAATAACCAGCTAGCATCATGATGACAGGATCAAATTCACACATAACAATATTAACCTTAAATGTAAATGGGCTAAATGCCCCAATTAAAAGACACAGAATGGCAAGCTGGATGAACAGCTGAGACCCATCAGTGTGCTGTGTTTAAGACACCCATCTCACGTGCAAAGACACACGCAGGCTCAAAATAAAGGGATACAGGAAAATTTACCAAGCAAATGGAAAGCAGAAAAAAAGCAGGCATTGCAATCCTAGTTTTTAACAAAACAGACTTTAAACCAGCAAAGATCAAAAAAGACAAAGAAGGGCATTACATAATGGTAAAGGGTTCAATTCAACAAGAAGAGCTAACTATCCTAACTATATATGCACCCAATACAGGAGCACCCAGATTCATAAAACAAGTTCTTAGAGACCTACAAAGAGACTTAGACTCCCACACAATAATGGGAGACTTTAACACCCCACTGCCAACATTAGACAGATCATCAAGACAGAATATTAATAAAGCTATTCAGGATCTGAACTCAGCTCTGGATAAGTGGATCTGACATACCTATAAAAATCTCTAACCCCCCAAAACAGAATACACATTCTTCTCTGTGCCACATGGCACTCACTCTAAAATTGATCCCTTCTAATTGTTTTACTAATTGGAAGTAAAACACTAATCAGCAAATGCAAAATAACTAAAGTCATAACCGTCTCTCAGACCACAGCACAATCAAATTAGAACTCAAGATTAAGAAACTCACTCAAAACCACACAACTACATGGAAATTGAACAATGTGCTCCTGAATGACTCCTGGGTAAATAATGAAATTGAGGCAGAAATGAAGAAGTTCTTTGAAACCAATGAGAACGAAGAAACTATGTACCAGAACCTCTGGGATAGAGCTAAAGCAGTGTTAAGAGGGGAATTTATGGTACTAAAAGCCCACATCAAAAAGCTAGAAAGACCTCAAATCGACATCCTAACATCACACAACTAAAAGAACTAGAGAACCACGAGCAAACAAACCCCAAAGCTAGCAGAAGACAACAAATAACCAAGATCAGAGAGGAACTGAGGACAGACACACACACACTTTCCAAAAAAAAAAAAAAAATCAAAGAATACAGGGGCTGAGTTTTTTTTTTTTTTTTTTTTAAATAAAATAGGCCACTAGCTAGACTTAAAAAGGGAGAGGAATCAAACAGACACAATGAAAAATGATAAAGGGGATATCACCACTGATCCCACAGATATACAACCAACCATCAGAGAGTACTATAAACACCTCTATGCAAATAAACTAGAAAATCTAGAATAAATGGATAAATTCCTGGACACATACATCCTCCCAAGACTAAAGCAGGAAGAAGTAGAATCTGAATAGATCAGTAACAAGTTCCAAAATTGAGGCAGTAATAGCCTACCAACCAAAAGCAGCCTAGGACCAGACATATTGACAGCTGAATTCTACAAGAGGTACAAAGACGAAGTGGTACCATTTATTCTGAAACTATTCCAAACAATTGAAAAAGAGGGACTCCTCGCTAACTTATTTTATGAGGCCAGCGTCATCCTGACACCAAAACCTGGCAGAGGTACAACAAAAAAAGAAAACTTCAGGCCAATACTCCTGATGAACATCAGTGTGAAAATCCTCAATAAAATACTGGCAAACCAAATCCAGCAGCACATCAAAAAACTTACCCACCATGATCAAGTAGGCTCCATCCCAGGGATGCAAAGCTGGTTCAATATTTGCAAATCGGTAAATAAATGTAATTCATCACATAAATAGAACCAGTGACAAAAACCACATGATTATCTCAATAGATGCAGACAACGCCTTTGAGAAAATTCAACACCCCCTCATTGTAAAAACCCTCAATAAACTAGGTATTGAAGGAACATAACTCAAAAATATTAAGAGCCATATATGACAAACCCACCCAGCCAATGTCATACTGAATGGGCAAAAGCTGGAAGCATTCCTCTTGAAAACTGGCACAAGACAAGGATGCCCTCTCTCACCACTCCTATTCAACACAGTATTGGAAGTTCTGACCAGGGCAATCAGGCAAGAGAGAGAAATAAAGGGTACTCAAATAGGAAGAGAGGAAGTCAAATTGTCTTTGTTTGCAGATAACATGATCCTATATCTAGAAAACTCCATCGTCTAAGCCTAAAAGCTTCTTAAGCTGATGAGCAACTTCAGCAAACTCTCGGGATTAAAAAAAAAATCAATGTGCAAAAATCACAAGCATTCCTATACACCAACAGACATGCAGAGAGCCAAATGATGAATAAACTCCTATTCATAATTGCTACAAAGAGAATAAAATACCTAGGAATACAGCTAACAAGGAAAATAAAGAATCTCTTCAAGGAGAACGATAAACCTCCGCTCAAGAAAATCAGAGGACACAAATAAATGGAAAAATATTCCATGCTCATAGATAGGAGAAATCTTTATTATGAAAATAGCCATACTGCCCAAAGTAATTTATAGATTCAATGCTATTCCCATTAAACTACCATTGACATTATTCACAGAATTAGAAAAAACTATTTTAAAATCCATATGGAACCAAAAGAGAGCCTGTAGAGCCAAGACAATCCTAAGCAAAAAGAACAAAGCCGGAGGCATCATGCTACCAAACTTAAAACTACACTACAAGGCTACTGTAACTAAAACAGCATGGTACTGGTACAAAAACAGACATATAGACTAATGGAACAGAATAGAGAACTCAGAAATAAGACTGCACATCTACCACCATCTGATCTTCGATAAACCTGACAAAAGCAATGGAGAAAGGATTCCTTATTTAAAAAATGGTACTGGGGGAACTGGCTAGCCATATGCAGAAAACTGAAACTGGACCCCTTCCTTACACATTATACAAAAATTAACTCAAGATGGATTAAAGACATAAATATAAAACATAAAACTATAAAAAACTCCAGAAAAAAATCTCGGCAATACCATTCAGGACATAGGCATAGGCAAAGATTTCATGAAGAAAACATCAAAAGCAATTGCAACAAAAGCAAAAATGGACACATGGGATCTAATTAAAGAGCTTTCGCACAGCAAAAGAAACTGTCATCAGAGCAAACAGCCTACAGAATGGAAGAAAATGTTTGCAATCTATCCATCTAACAATGGTCTAATGTCCAGAGTCTACAAGGAACTTAAACAAATTTACAAGAAGAAAACAAACAGCCCCATTAAAAAAATGGGCAAAGGACATGAACAGACACTTCTCAAAAGAAGACATTTATGCTGCCAACAAACATGAAAAAAAGCTCAACATCACTGATCAGAGAAATGCAAATCAAAGCCACAATGAGAATCTCACCCACTCAGAATGGTGATTAAAAAGTCAAGAAACAACAGATGCTGGCAAGGCTGCAAAGAAATAGGGATGCTTTTACATGGTTGATGAGAATGTAAATTTGTTCAATCATTGTGCAAGAGTGTGGCAATTCCTCAAAGGCCTAGAAGCAGAAATACCATTTGACCCAGCAATCTCATTACTGGTTATATACCCAAAGAAATATAAGTTATTCTACTACAAAGATACATGCATGTCTATTTTCTTTGCAGCACTATTCACAATAGCAAAGACAAGGAATTAAATGTCCATCAATAATAGACTGGATAAAAAAATCATGGTACATATACACCATGGAATACTACACAGTAATAAAAAGGAACACGATCATGTTCTTTGCAGGGACTTAGATGGAACTGGAAGTCAATATCCTCAGCAAACTAATGCAGGAACAGAAACCCAAACACCACATGTTCTCACTTATAAGTGGGAGCTGAACATTGAGAACGCATGGACACAGGGAGGGGAACAACATACACTGGGGCCTGTCCGGGGATTGAGGGGCGGAAGAACATCAGCATAAATAGCTAATGCACGCTGGGATTAGATTAATACCTAGGTGATGGGGTGATAGCTGCAGCAAACCACTATGGCACATGTTTACATATGTAACAAACCTGAACGTCCTGTACATGCACCCCCGCAGTTAAATTTAAAAAAGGAAACAGCACAGCAATATTAAAGATAGTACTGCCTGAAATACCACAATTTAGGTTTTTTCTCTGAAGAGCCAGAAAGGAGATACAGGAAGAGCTGAATACAAGTGACAAAGAATCTGAACAGGAGAGGAGAGATGGTCTCAGAGTTGTTCCAAACTTACTTGTCCTCAAAGCTCTCCTCCACCACCTTCCTCCACCGCATGTGGAGGCCACCTAAAAATCACACCACTCAACACATTGTTTTCTATCAAACAGGTCTTTACACTAAATCCCAAATATGTTGTCCATGAGAGGAACATCTGACGTTCCCACGCCACTCACGCCTCAAAGCACTTCACCTCACCTCTTCCAGTTCTCCAATCCCCTCACAAAGAAGCTATGAGTACAGTATCTTCATGAAAGAAAGGTAAGAGAACTCAACAGACGCTTCTGAGGCTACATGGTCCGATGTTCTCACGCATCAAGGAAATTTGGTCAAAATAACCTTTGCAGAAAACTCAGTTATGAAGGAAGTACGTACAGGCAGAGTGGGGAGGGGGTTAAGCTAAAGGTCGGGTCTGAAACACAGTGTTGTACACTAGACCCATCAGAAGGATAGATTTGTTCATTCATTAAGGGTCTATTATGTACCAAGCACAGCGCCAGGCACTAGGAAGAAAAGAGGAAAAATTGTCCCTTTTAATCATGTTGCTATTATTTCACCGCCCAAGTAAAACAAAAATGTAAAAAACTCCCCATTTCTCTCTAATTTTGACAAATTTTAGCCTTCCTCAGCCAAAGATTATTTTCCTGACTATTGGCCATATTTCTTTGTTAAGTCACTCTGTCAAAACATAAGTTGCAATAATGCGGGGCAGCGTCGAATCTGCCAGATCAATTTAGAAACAAATGAGTCTGCTGCTCTTCCGTGGCCCTGGGAGGCGGGCTGGCCTCCACGTACTGTCAGATCGTCCACAGGAAGAATTGCTGGGGATTACTGAAGACCAGCTGGGAAGCGTCAACTAAAATGGATGGCCTTTGAATTTTCCACTCTCCCATTGTCTAACTATAGCCAGCCGCCATTCCCAAATTAATGCCACAGAGAGAGAGATATTCTCTCCTAAGGCAGGCTGCAAAGATAAATCGGCTACAAAAGAGCAAGTAGCTAAAGGAAGAAACAGAAAATGAAGCCTTGGCACTCTGTCATGTGAATGTCACAGTATTTGCAGGAATTCATACACGGCACAACCAGAGACAGAATAGAAAAGTAAGCTTCCTTCCTACCCCGGTCCTCCTCCATATCCCCCCAAAACGAACCCAATTGTTTCCTGTTTTGTGAATGCCTTCTGCTACCCCATGTCACCGTATTTTAAAACATCAGGGATTCAGTTGCTTTATGTGGGGTAAAATGTGTTAAATGTGCCTGCATTTCTAAACCATCGGCTAATGAGATTTTATTAGGAAGAGCCCAGAAATAAATTACCAGAATTTACCAGAAAGCTATAAAATGGAGGGATTGTGAGGATTAAATGAGAAAATACATGTGGGCCTTGGAATGACTCAGGGCATATAGGAAGCTTAGTAAATGGTAGCAAGATCATAATTATTACCATAGTTCGATCAACTGTAAGACCCACTCAATAAACAGTCCACACCATTATGTTACGTACCACTAAGAAAAAACACTACCAATTAAACTGTCAGCCTGTGTATTATAAATCAGATATCTCAGAATTAATGAAATACAGTATCACTACATATACCTCTAGGTTTCCAGAAGTAAGTCACAGTGTACGTAACTAGTGACAAAGATTCTTTACTTGGCCAAACTCAGAGGAGATTCTTTACTTGGCCAAATTCAGAGGAGATTCACGCCTCTGAATCTCCTAGGTCCATCCGTGTTGTTCCTCAAAATCCAGTTTTAGCAAAAGAACCCTGCCTAGCCGGTTTCGCCAGAACCTCGGTACTCAGAATCTTCATGTTCCTCATCCTTCACCACCCTCGGGTGCTGTCTGATCACCCTGGCCTGTCTTCAGCAAGAATCCAGTTAGGTAAGAGGGGCCTCAAGGTGACTGAGAAGATGCATCTGGAACTTGCTTCCTCCACAAAGAAGAATCGAAACAGCAGGACGGAATCGCAACTGGAAACAGCAGGACGGAATCACAACTGGAACAGATCATCTAACAGAGAACAGTGGAATTCAACATGGAAGTGACAGGAGACGCCTAAGGCAAGAAAGGAGAGGGAAGCAAGGCAGCCTCTTTGGCTGGGACCCTGAAGAGGCTCCCCACTGTGTGGAGAGAGTAAGTGAGAGATGCCCAGCCGTCCACATTCCCACATGGACTCCTGTGATCCGAGCCACAGGAGAGCCCCTTGTGGTCCTTAGACTAACAGAGTGCTGCCCGGGGACCACGCTGTGGCACTGCTCCAGGGAGGGAGCTTGTGCTGGGCCCCACATACTGCTCGAGTCCTAAGCAGCTACAGCACAGCACCATTTTGAGGGCCCAGCTTCCACCAGGCAGCATCCTGCCCTGGGCCCCAAATAGCCCTTGAATGTCCACATTCCTGGAGCCCCATTGATATCCTCCACCACAGCCACTGCTGGCTCCTGCTGCTGCCAGGGCTGAAGCACAAGCCACTAGCAGTGACCCTGTGGCCCCAGCAGCAAGGCCACCATGCACATACAAGTACCCTAGGACAGGTTAACCCACCTGCAGCCACCACCTAGGACCAAAGCACACACTCTTCAGGACACCTGGCCCAGTTCCACCAGCCCCAGTGACCAGGCAAGCCATGCAAAGGCCTGGGGATTGCCCTACCCCGTCCATCCACCACTGTGGGCAGCTGAGCAGTTCCTCTGCAAGCCTGAGGATGGGCCTGCCCGACCTGCCGCTACCAGCACATCTAGCATCCATTGCATGTGCCAACTGCAGGCCTAAGGACCGGACTGCCCAGCCGGGTGCAGCCAACACCAACACTGGCCACTTGGGAGCCAGGGGATCCTCCTGCCATTGCTACTGCCATTGCCTATGCCACGCCCATTGCCCAGACGCCCAAGGACCCTCCCACCCAGCACACTGATGCCACCTACCACCAGCACCCAAGCAAGCCAACTGGATGCCCAAGAACTGACATGCCTAGACTTGCTAACGTGGATGCCAGTGTACACAGCCTTGAGGCCAAGGACAGGCACATTTAGCCCACCACCGCCACCGTGGGGCCCAAGGACTGGTGCGCCCGGGGTCCCTGTCCCCAGCAAAATTTCACTGCAGCTTCTGCTAACAACCACACCACCCAGAGCCACTGAGGAAATTATAGACACCACGGATGCCGATACAGCCAAAAAAGAAAAAGAAAAAAAATCATATGGAGACTACACTACCGTGCGCACCCAGAACCAAAACCAAAGTACCCAACCAAGGCCGGATGCGGTGGCTCACGCCTGTAATCCCAGCACTTTGGGAGGCCAAGGCGGTGGATCACTTGAGGTCAGGAGTTCAAGACCAGCCTGGCCAACATGGTGAAACCCTGTCTTCACTAAAAATACAAAAATTAGCCAGGCGTGGTGGCACACACCTGTAGTCCCAGATACTTGAGAGGCTGAGGTGGAAGAATCTCTTGAACCTGGGAGGCACAGGTTGCAGTGAGCCAAGATTGTACCACTGGACTCCAGCCTGGGCAACAGAGTGAGACCCTGTCTCCAAAAAAAAGAAACCCACCCCCCCCACCCCCACCCAACCAACCAAGAAACAACAAATTAAAAAACACAGTGCCCAACCCAAACACCACTATAGACCTATCTTCAGGAAAAATCCTCCCCTGTGAATGCAAATTTAAAAAACTGGAAGGAGCACAAGTCACTGTCTGTGGAAGAGAAAGCGAAAAATAAATAAAACAATTTAAAAATGGATAATAAATAAATGGAAGAAGCAATTGTTAGACCAGGAGTGCAGACATCAATTTAAGGACACAAGAAACATGACAAAAGCAAGGACATATGACTAAGAAATACATTAATTCTCCAGCAACAGGTTCCAAAGAAAAAGAAATTTAAAACATTTTTATTAAGTAGTAAAAGAAGCCTGACCTAATACTGTTAGGTGAGGTTAGCCAGAATCCCCCTTACCTGGATATTTCCTCTTGGTAATTTTCCATCTACCGACCCCCACACTGCCCCTTGGCTACCAATTCCCACGTGCCCACAATGTATTTGGAGCTGAGCCTAATCTTTCTCCCCCAGTGCAAGACCTGGTTGCAGTGGTCCCTGTACCTATCGCCATGGTCCTGTGCTTTAACAAACAGGACTGAGTATTTTTTTCTGTAACAGCAGGATCTGAGTACAGGTTGTTGGTGTCACCACAGCCACACTAGGCCCTGAACGTCTGACCACCCCCTGTTCTTGGAGCCTCAGTCACTACACAGATTGGCTCGCTCTGGCCTTCTTGACTCTTAACATTGCCCAGAAGGATTCACCACCACTTTCAGCGTCATAGTTCTTTGCTTTCACCATTCCGAGTCGGTCGTCATAGAATATGCTATCATATGTCACTCAAAATCCAAAATATGCCTCCGATATAAAGTTACACTGCTTATGCCAAGTCAGTGGTCTTGCCAAATGTGGCCATACTCTGGAGGTGACTTTGTGCACATATGTTCCCAGTATTTTCTATCCATGCTCAGTTAAGCAGTGCCATTTCCCTTGGCACAGAGTTTAAATTAGTTATTTGCAAACGTAAATTCACATTTCTTTTTCACCTATCACACCGCTCTCTCTAAATAACAGAGTAAAAACACTTACGCAGATAATTTGGGTAGGGAAACTGGGGATGGATTTCACAGTCATTCATCATTAGCCTGACAAGTCTTTGAGTTAGGGATTGAACACTCCGGCATATTAGTTGGCTATTTGTTATTGAGAGCACCAGCTCTCAAGATCACAGGACATATAAGGTAAGTGATGAAGGATACACAATGGCATTTAGAGAAACTACACAAGAACTGAAGAAAAACAAGGAGGCACATTGTTTCTGCATCACTCTTATTACCTGCAAACCAGGGGATGGATAATTTAAAATACCAGCGGAGTCCACGGCAGCCGACAGCCTGTTACCTTCCTTGGTTACAGAAAGATGCGGGGGTGAATTACCCACTCCATGGCTGCTTTACCGCGATGCACAGTACACGTCAGATCTCTTGAAAATACTCGTCGTGGCTCACTTTGGGAGGCTGAGGCGGGTGGATCACGAGGTCAGGAGATCGAGACCATCCTGGCTAACACGGTGAAACCCCATCTCTACTAAAAATACAAAAAATTAGCTGGGCGAGGTGGTGCACGCCTGTAGTCCCAGCTACTCGGGAGGCTGAGGCAGGAGAATGGCGTGAACCCGGGAGGCAGAGCTTGCAGTGAGCCGAGATCGCGCCCCTGCACTCCAGCCTGGGTGACAGAGCGAGGCTCTCTCTCAAAAAAAAAAAAAAACAATTGCCATGATATAGTCAATTCCTACCTCCTACGAGTCTGACTGTGCTGCTTGTGATCTGACCAGGAGAACTCTCCACTTTTCCCCTGTGTTGTCCTTTTTCATAATCCCTGCTTAGTAATCACTTCCACCAAGAAGAAACGTCTCAACTTTCTCATGTGTGAGATTCAACCAGTCACCCTACTCTTCATTATTACAAACAAAAGGTCAAGTTCTCCTTTTCTTGAGTTATATACAGATTTAATTAGTTATTTCTAATAAAAAATAAAATTCCACATGATCCTTTCTTTCCCTCTAGCTTTATTTTGCACAAATGCTCTCATTTCCCCCCTACATCTAAATGCAAAACAGAATATATTCACTAAAGGAATCAGGGTTTGATGATTACAGCAAACAACTGCATTTGCATATGTGAGGTTTCCAACTTTGAATTCAAAGACAATAAATAGCAAAATGATTTAGATTAGAATTTGCCGTTTCTGGAAAAAAAATGTTATCAATGACAGGAAAAGAAATGTTGGTGTCAAAGAAAATAAAACAGAAATACCTGTAAATAAAGATGAGTATCTATCAATTATACCATGATAAAGCTGGGTGGGAGGGAGATTATTACTGTAAAACTTGTTTGAAGGGGAAAAAATTAACCAAAGCATTATCAATAAACGACTAAAAAGCTGAAACGTAAGGATCACTTTGGGAAATGAAGCAAAATCAAACACCAGGAAACAAGGCATGAAAAGAAAAGGATTAAGGGAACAGATGAGTTGATGACAAAAAAGTTACAAAGACCAGGAGGAAAAAGAAATATGAGAATTACCGATTGTAATAAAGAAAAAGAAAAAGACTGACAAGCATAGGAAAAAAAATGACGTTTTTATGGCTGCTTGATGATAGTTCAGTCCATTGTCAACCTAACTAGAATCAATCAGAAAGCCGATCCTCAGAAGCAAATGAGTGAAGAGGCCTCTGGGTAAAGGCTGAGAGTACTGGTTGATGGGCATCACTGTTACCACTGTTCTCACCTAACTTGAGAAGATTGTGATACTAGCTCCCCAAATGCTCCTGTTAATGGCATGTACCCTACTCTTAGCAGGTCTCACATTCTGTGCAAAAACACTGAAAGTCAACATAATATGTTTTGTAGTGTAATGGAGACAGATCAGGTTTTTACTAAGCTAAAAGGAGATACAGCCTTGGCTACGCACTCGAGCAGAACGCTGTGAAAACGCATACTAAAATGATGAGCCTGAACTCCCCACATACCCTCAAGTGCATACAGGGTTGTGTCTCTGCAAAAGCCTCTACCCATTGAGGTTTCCTTGTGCAGGGGATAGTCTGTATCTAGATGCTATATCAAGGTGAAGATCAAGTATCTTTAGTTTTCATAAAATACTAGATTCCAAACAGAAAGGTAATTATCAGACAGAGTAGGTGGCAATTAGAGGCTGAGCAGGAGGCTCTAAGAATCTAAAAGGAATTTGGTCGGCATGTGATCATGAAATCCCCAAAACATTCCAGAAAGTGATAAAAATAAACACCTTTGGGTAAAGTGTTATTTCCCCAAAGAGGAATTGAAGCTAGTTAGATCTCTTTGGTCATAATATATATTATCAGTATATCTGGAGAAAGAAACAAAGCAAGATTACCTTTTCTTCTTCTTCTTCCATAGTTTAAATTTGCTACATTGGGAAACTTCACTGCACATTAATATATCAACTCCAACTAGACCAAAATCTTTCAATTAACTAAAAACATTTTTTAGGATGTAACTCTGAAAAAAATAAAAAGTGAGAAAAAGCAAACATAAAGTAAACTGGCTTAAAAGTAGGGTTCAGTTTGTTTTGTTTTGTTTTTGAGACAGAGTCTCGCTCTGTCACCCAGGCTGGAGTGCAGTGGTGTGATCTCGGCTCACTGCAAGCTCCGCCTCCTGGGTTCAAGCAATTCTCTGCCTCAGCATCCTGAGTAGCTGGGATTATAGGCGCCTGACACCACGTCTGGCTAATTTTTTGTATTTTTAGTACAGACAGGGTTTCACCATCTTGGCCAGGCTGATCTTGAACTCCTGACCTCATGATACACCAGCCTTGTCCTCCCAAAGTGCCGGGATCACAGGCATGAGCCACCGTGCCTGGCCAAGTAGGGTTCAGTTTTTAAAAATAAACAGCAGCAACAACAAAAACCCCACATGTACTTTCAAAAGTATGTTCTGTGATTACTCTTGTGCCTGGTTCTTCAAACAAACACAGGACTTTTCACAAATGAAGCCTGCATGTTCAATGCTGAATAAGATTAAAACGTGTTTAGCTCATTGTACCTACAGAAACACAACAGAACTTCAGCAAGATTTTCAACAATGATTATTTTAATTTTAAAAAGGATTTTGTGTAACTTTGTTTAAATCTGATAATCCTCTTTACTTCAAAAAATTAAAGAAGAAAGTGAAAGTAATACTTGGAAGCAAAATGAAACTAACACGAAGTGTATCAGGTACTTTTCCACATTAACTCACTGATGTAATTAAATTACAAATGCTCAGCGTCCTAAGGGGTCAACACTGTAATTAGGAAAAGTGTATTTCTCCTTAGTCCTTATACCATTTGCCCTGGTATAAATGCTTGTAGTAAACATTGTTACTCTTTCTCAGACAAGCGTTTTAAAGATGCTAGTTAAAATGTAGTTGGTAGCTAGTTTCCTGAGTCAATATGGCAATTATACCAATAAAATTGCAGATCAAGATGAGCCAGAGGCAGTAAGGAACAGGCCAAAGAAAAACAGGAAGAAAAGGGGACGATAAAGAAAGTGGTAGGCCAGGTGTGGTGGCTCACACACCTGTAATCTTAGCACTTTGGGAGACTGAGGCGGGCAGATTACTTGAGCCTAGATGTTTGAGACCAGCCTGGGCAACATGGTGAAACCCTGTCTCTACAGAAAATGCTAAAACATTAGCCGAGCATGCTGGCAGGCACCAGCAGTCACAGCTACTCAGGAAGCTGAGGTGGAAGGCTCGCTTGAGCCCCCAGGAAGCAGGGGTTGCAGTGAGCCAATATAGCACCACTGCAGCCACTGTCCAGCCTTGGTGACACAGCAAGACTGTCGCAAATTAAATTTTAAAACAGTGGTAGTTTATTCCAAATTCATGTGCTAATCAAATCATATCTCTGTGCCACTCTCACATTCAGCCCTTTCTTCCCGTTTCCACTGCAGGTATTTGTCTCCTGTATTCATTATCTCTTACTTGCAACTTTCCAAGTCAATCTCTCTGGTCCCTGTCTTTTTCCAAACCATTCTTTAAATTGTCATCAGATAAATCTTTTTTAAAAACAGATTTGATTTTACAAAAGAGAAACAGGAGATCTACCCAGTAGTTGCAGAATAAAGACAAAATTCTCTCGTGTGACATCAAACGCCCCCTATAATCTACTCCCATCCTGTGTTTCCCTGCACCCAACACGTATTTCAGTTATCCTGGCTTCTCTGTCATTCCCAAGTCAGGTTGTGGGCCCATGTGGTGTTTTGTTTTTGTTTTTGTTTGAGTCTCGCTCTGTCGCCCAGGCTGGACTGCAGTGGCGCGATCTCAGCTCACTGCAAGTTCCGCCTCCCGGGTTCACGCCATTCTCCTGCCTCAGCCTCCTGAGTAGCTGGGACTACAGGTGCCCGCCGCCATACCTGGCTAATTTTTTTTTGTATTTTTTAGTAGAGACGGGGTTTCACCGCATTAGCCAGGATGGTCTCGATCTCCTGCCTTGGCGTCCCAGAGTGCTGGGATTACCGGCATGAGCCACCGCGCCTGGCCGCCCATGTGGTTTTATGTCTTTTCTTTTTTTTTGGCATATGATTGCCAGGTCATAGCTTTTATATCTTTATTCATAGTTTCCTCTTTTAAAAATATCTTTTTCACTACTGCGATCGCTCATAATTTTATTCATCCTTTAGGATCCGGCTTAAATGTCACCTCCTTCAAGAAACTTTCCTACATCCAAATAGATTTACCTGATACCTGAGTATAGATAGTACAGTATATTGTTATAATTGTTCTATTTTAGTATTATTGTTGTTAATCTACTGTGCCTAAGTTATAAATTAAACTTTATTGTAAGTATGTATACATAAGAAAAAACAGTATACATGAGGTTCAGTACTATCCATGGTGTCAGGCACCCTCTGGGGTACTGGAATGTATCCCCCATGGATAAGGAGGCACTAAGCAACATATTGTATGTTTAGCTTTGCATACTTTTGGCTACTTACAGATGGAATCATACTGCATTGATGATTTTGCAATTTGTTTTGGGTTTTTTTTTTTTTTGGCTCAACATTATATCCTAAGATTCATTTATGTTGATGCATGTTGCTATAGTTTATAGCTGACAGACCTCTTGATGTGTCTTCTAGGAGGCGCTTATGAAGAGAATTTCCATAGGAACACTGTTTGTAAATGCAAAAAATTACAAATGACCCTATGTTCATTACTAGGTTATACAAATAGATAACATTATTTTCTATTTTTTCATTTTTCAGAGATGGGGTCTCATTTTGTTGCCCAGGCTGGTCTCAAACTCCTGGGATCAAGCAATCCTCCTGCCTGGGCCTCCCAAAGTGTTGGGATTATAGGCGTGAGCCACAGTATTCAGCCTCTTGGTATTTTCTATACTAGCACCTACTAATGTATATGGCACATAGTATACTCTCTACAATAAATGCTTTTTAAGATAAACGAATTTGAGAAGAAAAGTTATGTCTGATTCATTGTGGCTTCCTCATCCATAGAGGCCAGCACATGCTCAGATGCTCAGTCAAGATCTGATATTCAGCCACAAAAGGCTAGCAGTGGACAGGCAGGAAATAATCTGAGCTGACACAAGTGAGGGAGCAAAACAGGACGTGTGACGTGTTGGGTGCCTACCCCTAGCGAGGCAGGCAGAGCATTATTTTTTATGAGGTTAATTCCACCTGCTTACTTTTGAGTCCTACAAACCACTGTAGTTCACAAGAATTCCTTTCTTCTCTTGTGACTCTCTGTCTCCCCAGCCTCAGCTAATTCCCTCTCCCTGTCTTTGTCTCCCTCCTTCTACTTCTCCTCCTCCTCCTGTACTACTCCCCTACTCCCCTGGGTATGAGCCTGCTTCGGTACTCTGGGAAGGGTTTAGTGATGGTGGTAAAAACTGACTTCTTGATTTCCTTCCTTGCCTGCCAGCGAAGTCATCTTCCAGCAACTTCTTCCATTCTGTTGGAGCAATGATTTGTCTCTCACTATGCCATCCTTTGGTTTGAACATTGCATACCCATCTTAAGGCAGTTGATCCACCCTGCTTATTGCCTTTTTGGCATATTGGATGCCAGCTCTTGAGCAGAACCAAACCCCTGGAAAACTGATCACCATCTCAACATCTTATTAAACTAATTCTCATTTTGCTAAACTAGAAACGAATCATCAGGCTAACACTGCCAGTGAAGATGCAATGTAAGACAAATTATACCAAACCACCAATAGGCATGTATTCATCTGCAGCACCAGCCAACTACTCTCAAAAGAACTGATACAGAAAATGATGAAAAGGAATTAAATCCAAAAGTAAAGAGACGACTGCCAACTACAGATAAGATTTTCCATGAAATTGAGTATTATTCGGTTCATCTCACTCTGACTTCATTTTATTACAGTTTAGACCTGACTAGCTAAAAAAAGAAAGACCATCGCTTTGACACACAATAGAAGTAAAAATAAAGCTGACATGTCACCCTTTCCTTCATTCCTGTTTTCAATATTCAATCTTCCCCCTTTCCCTTTCCCATCACCTACTACACTCACTTCCACTGTAACATTTCTTTCTCCTCTCTTAGAAAAGATCCTTAGAGGAAATTAAAATGTGGCCAGTCCTTACTCTTTAACGTCAACGTTTCTCTCAGCATGCACTTCTCTAACTTGAGCTATCATTTCACTAAAATAACTCAACTCTTTCTTTTCTGAATCTTCCCTAGCGTTGCTGTATTTCTTACACCCGCTTGGATTCATGCCCACTCGCTGCTCAGGATATATTGTGTCTATACTTGAGTAGGCACAAAATGCTTTTTCAAACAAAACGTATCTGTCATATCAGTACTGTTTCCTCCATATACGTCAACCAAATTAAATAGCTTCCCTGACCTTTTGTCTACTTTCTTTGCCTTCTGAGTATCCTCATCATCTAACTCTTGGCCTGGTAAAACAGGATATGTGGAAAAGTCATAACTTACCTTCCTCATTATTTTCTCTATCAAGCCATAAAAAGTAATAAGGGAAACCTTTACTTTGGGCTTACCTTCACTCCAAAATGTAGAATTGTGTGGTTAGGTTTAAAAAATGACAGAATTCTTGCAAGAAAATGTTAATCTAATGTTAGAACTCCTAGCAGACAAGGTAGGGACGCTGAATGTAATTATTCAGAGACTTTGAGAAAAAAAAAGCGGGGGGGAGAAACAAGCGGGTTTTCTATCTGCAATGAGCCCAGCACTTTATGAGGTGCCTGTCTAGATTCTTTTTTTACCACGAAAGTTGGGAGAAGCTACTATCACCCTCATTTCACAAACGAGGCTTCTAAGGCTCAAAGAGGCTTAAGTGGTGCCAGATATTGAATCCAGGTTTTTCTGATCCTCATGTTCCAAAGCAGGACAAGTTAAATCTGAAAGCATCTTAAGAGGAATGAGCTATAAAATAACATTCTGACAATACAATCATACACGATGCAGACTGCTTATCCATGAAGGCCCTTCACAATCTGGCCTCTGCATCCTTTCCTCACCCTTCCTCTCATCACCGGCCACAAATCTCCCTTTTTCCAGCCCTACAGAACACCATACACCATTTTCTAAAGTGCTGTGCTGATGAATGTACTTTCCACAGGCTCTTTCATTCGTGTGACTGCCCTTTCTCTTGCTTCATCTATCTCCTACTCCAAAACTTAGCTCAAGGGTTGCCTCCTTCAGGAAGCTTTTCCTCATTCTCCAGTCTGATTTAGGTTCTCCTCCTCCGTAGCAAAGTACATACCCCTAACAATACCACTTACCCCACTGAACCATCATTGCTGATTTACTTGTCTGTTTCTTTTACTACTAGGGTTATTCCTAGAAAGAAGAAGCTACATTTTATCCTACTTTGTATCTCTTTCATATAGTACAGTGACTGACACATCATAGGTGCTCCAGACCCCAAATAGAAGAACTGGGACAGAAATCAAAGGGTAGTATATCTGGGATCACCACCCTGGGGGAGTGGGCTATCTCATGAACCAGTATTTAAGCAGAGGCTAGATAATAACTTTCAGGAGCATTAAGAACTCTTTTTTGTTGTTGTTTGGTTTTTTTGAAACAGAGTTTCATTCCGTCTCCCAGGCTGGAGTTTGGTGGCATGATCTCAGCTCACTTCAACCTCCGCCTCCCAGGTTCAAGCGATTTTCACGTCTCAGCCTCCCAAGTAGTTGGGATTATAGGCGTGTGCCACCATGTCCAGCTAATTTTTTGGGTTTTGTTTTTGTTTTTTTAAGGAGAGATGGAGTTTCTCAAAAAACAAACAAACAAACAAACAAAAAACAAACAAACAAACTCTGGCCAGGTTGGTCTCAAACTCCTGGCCTTAAGTGATTGACCTGCCTCAGCCTCCCAAAGGGCTGGGATTACAGGCATGAGCCACCATGCCCGGCCAAGAGCTCTTTACACTAAGTGAGGAGCAGTGTTAGGCAAGCCAAGACATCCATGCTTGCTCTGTTATTCTACGGCTCCCGACAGCTCCAGATCAAAGTTTTCTGATGAAGATGGGCCAACATCTCAGAAGACAGGATGGCACAACAGTAACACAACTATCATAGTTAGAAAACCTGGGTTCTGGCTCTGACTTGGTTGTGTGATTTTTGGTAGACAGTCCCAAAAGTCTTGGGTGATTTCATCTCAGTTTCCCTATTTATAAAACAAAGGGTGAAAGGTAAGCTAGGGGGAGCTGACCAACTAGATGGTCTGTTAAACGCCTTCCAGTGCTAAGAGAATTGCCTTATTTTCCCATTGCTCACTGTGTTCTCTTGTGACCACCTGAAGGTCTCTGCCAGCTCATCTTATACCAGTGCTGTCTTCCCTGTTTGATGGCTCATTTCTCTAAATAAAGCATAACATTCACAGAACAAAATGAGTAAAATCTCTGTTTTTTTAGTTCACTGGACAACATCACTTTTCTTTTTTCATTTTTGAGACAGGGTCTTGCTCTGTTGCCCAGGCTGTAGTATGGTAGTGCCGTCACAGCTCACTGTGGCCTGGACCTCCCAGGCTCAAGTGATTTTCCTACCTCAGCCTCCTGAGTAGCTGAGACTGCAGGTGTGTGCCACCATGCCCGGCTAACTTTTTCCATTTTCTGTAGAGACAAGGTTTCATCATGTTGCCCAAGCTGCTCTCAAACTCGTGACTCAAATGATCCACCAGCCTCAGCCTCCCAAAGTGCTGGGATTACAGGTGTGAGCCACATGTGCTCGGCCACATATCTTTTTATTTTAAAATATTAATAAAACAAAATTATGCAGGTAAACTCTGAGTCCAAAGGGAAATTGGCATTGACTTACAAAATTTAATCAGATACTTAGAATTCACTGAGTTAACACGTGCATACTTGACCTTGCTTGATGCAAAGATCTGTGATATGTAATCATTTGCTACTTCACTGAAGATGTTTGAATCCTCCTTGTTGTAAGGTTGACTCCACAGGAAAAGACTGATTCACATGGCTTTGTTATCATTGGCTTTCTGTTATGAAAGCAGACAATTTAGGTCAAGGGACAACAATCTATTTTTCTGCCTGAAAATGACCCCGACATGAAAACCAACTGATAGATTGGTTCATTTCTATTACCAGCACTAAAGAATGGGCATAGGGCTGGGCACAGTGGCTCACACCTGTAATCCCAGCACTTAGAAGGCCGAGGCCAGCCTGGGTAACATGGGAAAACCCCCATCTCTACGAAAAAAAGACACAAAAATTAGTCAGGTGTGGTAGTGTGTGCCTATAGTCCCAGCTACTGAGGAGGCTGAGGTGGGAGGATCACTTGAGCCTGGGAGGTGGAGGTTGCAGTGAGCTGAGACCATGCCACTGCACTCCAGCCTGGGTGACAGAAACCAGACTCTGTCTCTAAATAAATAAATAAATAAATAAATGGCATAAATTAGCCTTATAAATTACTTTAATCCTGAATTTATAGAATCGTTACACATCTAGAGGAATTACTTAACTTTTTCAGATATACTTTGCATTTTTCACAGAGAGAAAAATAATTACATAGGCATTTTCACATTTGGAAGTTCATAACTCCCTCGGGACCTATTCCACAGGAAGGCCGAAGGCCAAAGGTCTCTTGTATATTATCTAGCTCCTTAAAATGGCAACATTTAAAAAAAAATCTAACCTCCTTCTCCCCCAAATCAATTCAGTTTGTTGAAATTCTTCCATATGCCTTAAAACTACCAAGGGAAGGCAGAGTCAGACAAGGTTTAAATGTTTGTAGGCATCTGAGAAAGAATTGAAAACAATCAGAGTAGAGATGGTGGTCTACTCTGCATTCTCCCTTGGGCGCTACCACAAAGGCACTTCTCTGTACCCATCAGCAGAGCCGCACATGCTCTCTCTTCTCATAGAAACAGGGTCAACCCTCATTTCTAGGAACATAATTTTCAACCACAAAGTTCCCTTCCATTTTTTACTTTCCTGACATCAGTCTGCTAAGTGAAGATATCTCGGTAAGAACTCCAATTTTAAGGGGAATGAATCTTTACAGAATGTACTTTATCTTGTCAGCACTTTGAATCTAAATTTCCTTCTCACCCTTTCACCCTAAAATATCAGCTTGCATCAGGCACAAAGGAAGATGCACAGCTGCAAGTGCTCAAGATGACTAAGGAAGGAAAAGCAGACAAGTCACTAATTACTCTCCAAACTGGAGGCCTAAATCATCCTTCTCTTCTACCTGTTGTTTCTGGAATAGTTTATGTCAGTAATGGAAAATTTAAACACTGTCATATAATTCCATTTTTTTTCCCCACTCCAGCTCTTAAAAACATCCTAGATGTTAAGATGTGTAGCCTAGGACAGTGGTTTTCACACAGTGCTCTAAGGAACCTTTAGAGCCAGACACACAGAGGAGGTATCAATAGGAGGGGTCTGATGCCCCTTCGACACATGTTACTATAATTAACATGTATTTTGAGACTGAGAATGTAGGCTCCATGAAAGCCGGGATTCCTGTTTCCTCACAGCCATCACCTCGTCCTTTTAACAGGGCCCAGAATACAGTAAGCTGCCGGATAAAAGTTTTTTGACTGAATAAACTGCACGGTTATTACAGCTGGGAACTGATTTCGCTGATTTCCACGGTAACCCTGTGAGGCACGTATAGTAGTTATCCTCACTTTGCAGATGGGCAAACTGAGGCTCAGAGCAGCCTGGCTTCCAAGACCCTCCTTCTAAACATCATACCACATGACACAGCCTCCCACGTGAGCCAGCAGCTGTATTTCATCTGTTTTACATGTGAGGTTTCCCACCATTTGACTGGAGAAAGGTCGATGTTAGGGGAGAAAAAACCATTTAAAAACCACCAACTTCATGGTGAAATCCAAAGGCTGCAAGTAATCAATCTCACTCCTTGCTCTGTTTTTCCTGCCACCCTTGGGACTTGACGCAAGTGGCTTAACTGCTCATTGTTTCAGGTTCCTCATCTTATTTTACAACCTATCTTGCAAGATGAGTATACATGAAATATTAGAGGATCCTGATGTTGTCAGAAGTGTAGTTTTGCGGATGTTGATCCCAGAATTGTGAAACAAGGACACGGTTGAGATGATCGCTAAACTCTGCCTGAAGTTCAACGCCTCTGTCATTGAAGACCTTGCACAGTGCCGTCCACATGGTTATTTTATTCCTCCATGTCCTTACCAACTAAACAAGCCATATGATTTTAGGTTTCGTGGCCAGACAGCCTGGCTAAGCTCCTATCAACATGTCAGCCAGATGAGGTGAAGAGATGGAGAAACAAACCTGCATGTGGGTTGCGTCGAACAATAAAGAGAAAACAGAGACCAAAAATCTTGTGCCAAGGTTTGACCTCAACAACCGCAAAACCAATCATTGCTGTGTTGTTTCACTATGTTTCTAGAAACATCCATAGAGGAGAAACCAAAGTCGGCCTGAATACATGTTAATAGCTTTCACGGGCTTACTTCTGATATTTTAAACAGGCAACAAAAAAGAAAAACCAAGTTTCAGATCTTGCCAGAAATTGGGGTTTCACTTAACTGTAAAACAGTCAAGGGGAGTTTATCAGGTAAGACACGAAGCCTTTCTTTATAAGCTCTTATAAGACTAGAGACCACTGGATTGCCGTGCAGTTACTGCCGCTGGCATTATTTTCTTAGCACACTAAGAAAAATAAAAATGTTCAAAGTCCTGTTTTTAAAAACAGGATGAGACTTCTGGCTTCTGATCTGGTATGTAAGAAGCTTAGAAGTCACCATTCCATCCTAACAACAAGTAAAAAGCTAAACAAACTAAAAAATCAACCATTCTTCTTACACATTTGAGATGCTAGATATATTAGCTTAATTTAATTATTCCACATTGTATTAAAAACTCACAATACCACTTTGCATCTTATAAATATACACAACTATAATTTCTCAATATACAGTGTTAAAAAAAAATTCTTAGATCTGCCAAAGAAATAAGGTCACAGGGCAAGCTGCTGCCCCCAAGACTAGAGAGACAGAGGGGCGCATACAGAGCATTGCAACTTACTACAACAGAAACCTCCATGGAAATCAGTACCCGGTAGAAACCTCAATTGTACTCGACATACTGCTGGGGGTCTAGAATGAACAACTCTTCGAGTTTAAAACTCCAGAGGTGCCCATCATGGGGAGTAGGGAGGGATAAGCTTTTGTGAGTTTTTTTTTTTCCAGGAGCTCTAGCAGGGCCTCGCAGTGAGTATCAGAGAAAAATTCCCTTATGCTTCCAGTGGAAAAAGGAGGAAAAGGACCATTTTGAAAAAACACCAGAGATCAGCACCATAGGAAAAGGAAAAAAGAAAAAGAAAAAAACACCAGAGAATTATGTTCTTAACAAGGTTTTGCCCTCCAGAGAAACTAACCAGACCCTAACTTGCTGGGGCTTTGGCAGAGCCTAACCTACCTGGGGAAGGAAAATACCCAACTCCAGTCCACTCTAGTCATCCTGTCCCACAAGAAAACAAACAAACAAACTGAGAAGCACTGAGTGAAGCTCACAGTCCAGGGTCATGGGCTCACTAGAAGACTGAGACCCACTCACAGGACTACAGGAGAACAATTCCATTCTGAGTTAGTCCACTTTGCATTTGCTATAAAGACGTAACCAATGCTGGCTAATTTTCAAAGAAAAGAGATTTATTTGGCTCACGGCTCTGCAGGCCATACATGAAGCAGAGTGTAGGCGTCTGCTTCTGATGAGGGCCTCAGGAAGTTCACCATCATGGCAGAAGGCAAAGAGGGGCCAGCATGTCACATGGTGATGGAGGGAGCAAGAAAAGGGAAGGAGAGCCAGACTCTTAACAACCAGCTCTTGTGTGAACTAACAGAGCAAGAACCTGCTCATCACCAAGGGGAAGGCACCACGCCATGCATGAGGGGTCCACCCCCATGATCCAAAACCTCCCACCAGGCCCCACCTCCAACACTGGGGGTCATATTTCAACATAAGCTTCGGAGGGGACAAAACATCCAAACAGTATCACTCCCCAGTGATTTACCACCACATCACTAAAGACCCATTCACAATTCTTTTTACCCAGTACATCATGACATCCGTCTTTCAGCAAAAACTTACCAGACATACTAAAAGGCAAAAAACACAGTGTGAAAAGATTGAACAAGCATCAGAATCATAGTCAGATACAGCAGAAATATTGGAATCATTCGACAAGAAAATTTTTGAAAATGATGAATAAGCTAAAGGCTTTAATGAAAAAAGGACATGAAAGAACAGATAAGTATAAGCAGATGAAAATTCTAAGAAAGCAAAAGTAATGCTAGAGATCAAAATCATTTTAACAGACTTGAATAATCCTTTTGACCAACTTATTAGGAGACTGAACACAACTGAGGAAAAATCTCAGCTTGAGGATACGACAACAGAAACTTCTGAAATGAAAAAGCAAAGAGAACAAAGATTGTAAAAAAAAAAAAAGAATATCCAAGAACTGTAGGACAACTATGAAAGATGTAACATACATATAATGGGAATATTAGAAAGAGAATAAAGAGGGAAAGGAACAGAAGAAATAATATTCAAAACAATAATGACTGAGAAATTCCCCAAATTAATGTCAAACACCAAACCACAGATCCATGAAGCTTAGAGAACACTAAGCAGGATGCCAGGAAAACTACCTCTGGGCATATCATATTTACAACTAAGAAAATCAAAGATAAAGAAAAAAAATATTTAAAAAAATACCCCAGAGGGAAGAAGAACATACTTCAGTGGAGGTAAAAGAAAAACTTTTGTTTTCTTATTCTTAATTGATCAACACACAATATCTTTTTCAAAATAATAGCAACAATGTACTCAATTACGTATGCATATATATGCTTATGTATAAGTGAAATGAATGACAGTGATGATTCCAAAGATGGGAGGGAAGAATTGGGAATATTTTGTTATTATAAGATATTTGCACTACTGATAAAGCAGTTTCATGTTATTCGAAAATGGACTTGGATTAGTAGTAAGTGTATATTGCAAACTCTACGGCAACCATTTTAAAAAGTAAAAAGAAGTATAATTAATATGCTAATAAAGGAGAGAAAACAGTATCATATAAAATCCAGCTTTATTCATAATTTCCAAAACTTGGAAGCAACCAAGATGTCCTTCAGTAGGTGAACAGGTAAACTGTGGTACATCTAGACAACAGATTATTCATCACTAAACAGAGATTAGTCATCAAGCCATCAAAGGACATGGTAGAACCTTAAATGCATATTACTAAGTGTAAGAAGCCAATCTGAAACACTTTATACGGTATGATTTCAACTGTATGACATTATGGAAAAGGCGAAAGTATGAAGATAGTAAAAAGATCAATGGTGGCCAGAGATGAGAGGGGAGGGAGAGATGAACAGGTGGAACATGAAAGATTTTGGGGGCAGTGAAAAAAGTCTGTATGACGCTCTAACAGTGAAGACATGCCATTCTACATTTGTGCAAACTCACAGGATGCACAACACCAAGGGTGAGCCCTAATGTCAACTCGGGAGTCTGGGAGATAATGTGTCAATGTAGGTTCATCGACTTTAGCAAATGTACCAATCTGGTTTGGGATGTTTATGATGATGGGAGATAGGGGTGGGGCAGGGAATGGCCAAGGGTTATATGGGAAACCTCTATGCTCAATTCTGCTGTGAACATAAAACGGTTCTCAAATAAAAAGTTTATTAATTTTTTAAAGGATTTTTACACAACTAAGCCTTGATAAACATTTACCTTCTTTCTTCTTCATCATAATTATTTTTCCGCATTATTTTGCTATTTTCCTTCTCTCCTTCTCTCTCTCTCTTTCTTTTAGAGACAGGGTCTCACTCTGTTGCCCAGCCTGAAGTACAGTGGTGCCATCACAGCCAACTGTAACCTCGAATTCCTAGGCTCAAGCAATTCTCCTACCTCAGCCTCCCCACTAGAACTACAGACGCCTGCCACTATGCCTGGCTAATGTTTCAGTTTCTTCGTAGAGATGAGGTCTCATTATGTTTCCCAGGCTGGTCTTGAACTCCTGGCCTCAAGAACTCCTCCCACCTTGGCCTCACAAAGGGCCGGGATTACAGGCGCACATCACGATGCCAGACCCAATTTTGCTATTTTCTAGCATAACATGGTATGCACACATTAAATTAAATGTGAAAAACAAAGGCAAAAAGAAAAATAAATCAACAAAAGTTCTCCAATCATGACTAAAATCATGGACTATTTCCTTCTAATCTTTTCTACAGGCTGATTTTTAAAAACATTACTTAATTCATGGAGAATATCAACCAGAGTGCTCAAGATCTGGCCCTTGGGAAGACAGGCTTTCAGATCATCTCGAGTCCTTATTTCCTTTCTACCCCCAACCTCTGCTGTGCCTGGTGCTCAGGGCCCCTCTCCAGAAACCGTCACTCTGAAGATGAGCAGGCACATTCAAGGCTGTAGGGAGTACAGGGGAGGATCTGATGCAGTCTTTCAAATACTCCTTTTCTTTTAAGGTCCCCATATGAACCTATCCCCCCTCAGGACCTCACTTCATTAATTTCTGAGCCTTTCTGAGCAGGAAATATGCTTGCTTCTCATCGATATCCACCACTGTAGGCACTCAGATCCCACCTAGCTCCCCACTGTTAATTCAGTCATCAGAACTCCAACTGCTTTTTGTCTTCATTATTGATCAATGTGTTATAATGACTTTTGATTCCATCAAAAGTAGAATTTGTTTTTCCATTCCTCATTCTCCTTGCCATTCTATGGTGATGGATGATTTCTGAGAGAAGAAAGAGGTAGAAATCTCTCTATTCCATCACAATTCTTATTCTTACATGGTATTGTAATACCATATTATCTTTATTAATCTGGCTTTATAATATATTTCACTGTCTGGCAGGAACATGGTCATTTCAAATTTGACTGAATGTTTCAAAAAAGTATTTTCTATTTGTCTTTAAAGTTATGGGCAACTTACCAGATAAGTTGAAAAGAAGTTCAATATCCTAAATTCAAAATCCTAAATTTTCACATGTAGACCTTCCTATCAACTCAGACAATGCCAGGCACAAACCTATGATCAGTAACTGCTGAGTGATTGTGAACAAGCCATCCAAGAAAAGTCAAATGCATAGGGGCATTTGTGGAAGTGTGGAGTTGTCTCTGAAAAGCTGTTGCACTGTGAACTTGTTTCAGCCTGAGAGGCAAGAAAGGCTGGCCTGTGATTACTTCCGGTGTCTACCTAGTGTGAAATGTGTTGAGTCAATGAAGCATCTGGAACAGACTTAGTTCAACTGGAAGGTTCATGACTGGGATGCTTCCTGGAGCCCTCAGACCAGAGGGCAGACATAACCCAAGAATTGCTTCTTATTAAAGGAACAGAGACAAAAACCTAAACAGAGGGATAACGGCAGAGCATTAAATGCAGATAATTCCATTTGCGACTAATTTACCCAAATAAAATAGCAGAAAGCAGCTTTCAGTGGAATAATTTAAGGCAACAGGCAGGAGAGTGGCGTGAACTATTATTTTCATATTTCCATTGCTTACTTGTCACTTCCAGTGAATATTTAACTTTTGAGCATCCACTTTGTGGCTTAAGGATGTTCCTAACTTCCCCAAACTTTGCATCCTTGACCAGTACACTACAATATTTATTCACAACCCTGGGAAATACCTATGGGAAAGTTACTGTTCCCTGAACGAAATACATGAAAATCCAGATTTCTCTACTCGCTGACAGTTTATATAGATAATGCTACTTCCCCCTCAATTTATCTCTACTCTGTTTCAATCTACACACTGCTGTCAGAACAGCGTTAGACCACAGATCTGAGCACTTTAATCCCCCCCTCAAAAATGGCCCCCCTCTGCTCACCAGCTCCATGCTGAGGCTCTCACGTCCTTCTCATGATATAACCCCCATCTACTGAGACACTCAGTTCTCCTCAAATGAATCTATTCTCCATTCCCTGACTAAGCTGCAGCGTTCTCACCTCAGTGCCTTTGCCTAGGCTGTGTCTTCCATCTGAAATGCCCTTTACCAGACTACTGGAATGACAACTCTCCTTCAAGGCCCAAGTGCCTCCTATATTAAAACAATAATGGTTAGAACTTTCCATTTCAACAAAATGATGCAGAATTCACCTTATATTGAAAAAGGCAGGTAGTGAAGGAAATTCAGTGTACGAGTAACAATGCACCTCATGTAAACCACTGTGAGGTAAAGAAAAGGCAAGGACTTTAAAGCCAGATATTCATGGATTTAGCTCCCTGGTCTGGCATCTTTGAATCTTGTGACTCGGGGCAAGTTACTCAAGTCTTCTGGAACTGAGTTTTCTCCTCTATACAATGGACACAATGGTACCTGTGTTGCAAGTGTGGACTGTAGACACAAACCACGCGTTTCCCATATTCCATTTAATAATTCTGTGCTGCCCTCGTCTTTCCCGCGTTGTAAATTTCAGCCTTCTCAGGTCTGTGTCTTTCTCCTGTGCCGTTCATCAGTGGAGGCTTAGTTCCCAGTGCTGGTGGAAGATGCCTCCGTACACTGTTAAGGAGGCAATGCTTTCTCTTCCTATCATTGATAATATTCTGCATCATAGGGCTATGAGACCTCCAGGCTTCAGAGATTACCACTGTGTCCTGTGGAGGCAACCTCTAAAAAGTATGTAATTCTGATTTTCTTAGTTAATAATGTGTCACTCTGGTAACACTATTTAAATGGGTCTCTATTTTCTCAAAACGTAAGTACTTCTGAGTTCTCTTTGTTAAGCCAGAAGGGGAGGCAAAAGAAAATAACTTTGCTAGCTTTCTTATTTAAATTGAGAGCCTGGGATCAATGAAAATCAACACGGGTTTGCTGTGAGAATGAACCACAATAATTAATGACTCTTCAGTGGCTAGAACATAAAAGATAGCTAGTGTTAGTGAGACCATCAGCAACAATACAACTGCACAACTTCTACTAACAATAATGACATGGACACTGTTCTGCCAGACCTTCCAGTCCACAGGCCTTTGAGGCCTTAGCCAAGACTTTTCTCTACTGGAGGGGTAAAAACCACTAAGCAAAGCCTCGCTTGTCTGAGTCAGCTGAGTCTCATAGCCAGGGTATTTGTCTGACCCTGTTTTCAGTGCTGAATTTGCCATCCTGTTGTAAATCAGTCAGCACAAACTCAGAAACATACCCGTTCATTTACTTAACAGCACACAATCCTTCAAAGGGCAAAGTGGTTTGAGGAAATCCAAACTAACCAAGGGGGGAAAGGCCAGGAACACGGATTCCTCTGCTGAAGATAAATGGTAGCTATCAAATCTGCACACAAATCCCTGAATAAATACCAACAGCATTCCTTCGTGTTGTTTTGAAATTCAAACTACATTAGGAAAAGAGAAAGGTGCCTTACTTTTTGACATACCACTAAGTCTTCACTCCATCAGAATGCTATTAGCATTAGTGGCAGATTTTATTACCTCTCTAAGTGTGTATAAAAACCAAGTGTCTCTAAAAAGTATTATTTTTGTTGACATTTATCATAAAGACTATTAAAACAACATATAAAAATGTCAATGTTGACTTTCTTCAGAGAAATAGAAAGAACTACTTAAATTTCATATGGAGCCCAAAAAGAGCCCATATAGCTAAGACAATCCTAAGCAAAAAGAACAAAGCTGGAGGCATCATGCTACCTGACTTCAAACTGTACTACAAGGCTACAGCAGCCAAAACAGCATGGTACTGGTACCAAAACAGACGTATAGACGAATGGAACAGAACAGAGGCCTCAGGAATAATACCACACATCTACAACCATCTGATCTTTGACAAACCTGACAAAAACAAGCAATGGGGAAAGAATTCCCTATTTAATAAATGGTGTTGGAAAACTGGCTAGCCACATGTAGAAAGGGGAAACTGGATCCCTTCCTTACACCTTATACAAAAATTAATTCAAGATGGATTAAAGACTTCAATGTTAGGCCTAAAACCATAAAAACCCTAGAAGAAAACCTAGGCAATACCATTCAGGACATAGGCATGGGCAAGGACTTCATGTCTAAAACACCAAAAGCAATGGCAACAAAAGCCAAAATTGACAAATGGGATCTAATTAAACTAAAGAGCTTCTGCACAGCAAAAGAAAAGTATCAGAGGAAACAGGCAACCTACAGAATGGGAGAAAAATTTTGCCATCTATCCATATGACAAAGGGCTAATATCCAGAATCTACAAGGAACTTAAATTTACAAGAAAAAAAACAACCCCATCAGAAAGTGAGTGAAGGATATGAACAGACACTTCTCAAAAGAAGACACTTATGTGGCCAAAAATTATGAAAAAAGCTCATCATCACTGGTCAGAGAAAAGCAAATCAAAACCACAGTGAGATACCATCTCACACCAGTTAGAATGGTGATCATTAAAAAGTAGGGAAACAACAGGTGCTGGAGAGGATGTGGAAAAATAGGAACACTTTTACACTACTGGTGGGAGTGTAAATTAGTTCAACCATTGTGGAAGACAGTGTGGTGATTCCTCAAGGATCTAGAACTAGAATTACCATTTGACCCAGTGATCCCATTACTGGGTATATACCCAAAGGCTTATAAATCATTCTACTATAAAGACACATGCACACATATGTTTATTGCGGCACTATTCACAATAGCAAAGACTTGCAACCAATCTAAATGTCCATTAGTGATAGACTAGATACAGAAAATGTGGCACATATACACCACAGAATACTATGCAGCCATAAAAAAGGATAAGTTCGTGTCCTTTGCAGGGACATGGATGAAGCTGGAAACCATCATTCTCAGTAAACTAACATAGGAAAAGAAAACCAAACACCACATGTTCTCACTCTTAAGTGGGAGTTGCACAATGAGAACACGTGGACACAGGGAGTGGAACATCACACACCAAGGCCTGTCTGGAGGTGGGGCTAGGGGAGAGATAGCATTAGAAGAAATACCTAATGTAGATGACGGGTTGATGGGTGCAGCAAACCACCATGGCACGTGTATACCTATGTAACAAAGCTGCACTGTTCTGCACACATATCCCAGAACTTAAAGTATAATTAAAAAAAAAAATCAATGTGTCATTTGAGTAGCTCATTGCACCCAAACTGGCTATTGCACAATTTCAGTTTATACAATCTATTAAGAGAACGCACACGCTCTCGTCTGGTTAGAACGCATTCTTCTTCCTGAGGGAAAACCTGAGCTTAGGTTGTTCTCTCTGAAACATCCCCACTAACGGGGATGTCCCTTGAAGGCCGCAGGGACTCTACCTTTTATCTCTAAATCTCTGGAGCCTACCTTGGTGCCTGGTACATAGCAGTCACTCAATTCATGGTTGGTGGGTTTATTTTTTTAAAAATAGCAGCTGTCATTTAACCAGATGCTGCTTTGTGGGAGGCCCTTTGCTTACATGATCACTAACACTTAAAACAACTCTGTGAAGGAGGCTAACAAATCCTGCCTTACAGTTGAGGAATCTCAGATTTAGGAAGATTAAGAAACTTGTCCACAGCTACATACCTGGTCAGTGAGTAAAAGATTCAAACTCCAAAGCCCAGCTTTGCAGAGTCTGAAGCAAACACTACGCTGTACAGAGTCTAGTCACCTATAGTCACTGCTGATCTTGCCATGTCTCGGGCACCACTGATGCCTCACTATAACTGAACCAAGTGGGAAGGGGGCACTGATCTGAATGTATTCTGACAACAGACCATGCCCTAGGATGTAAGTCCCTGGTACAAGACTGTTTTCATTATTCTTACTCCTGTCTCCTAAAAGCAGGCAAGAAAACCAGTTTTTGATAGATTAGAATTGCACTCTATTTTCATTCGGATACCAAGTCCTGAGACACCTTAGCTGGCTAGGTAAGTCTGGTGGTGGGAGACCTGCTCCTGAAGCCATAAGCAAGTTAACATATGTGAATTTCCTCTGTAAACTCCACATGGCTCTATGACAACAACACAGTGTTCAATGGTATCACGGTGGTGAAAAGAGCACAGATTTTTAAATCAGATATAACAGAATTAGAATCTGCACCTCCCCCTTACAACCTCATCATCTAGGGCAAGTTGAGTTAATTAACCTCTCAAATTTCTAATTCATCATCTGGAAAGTGTACAGAATAATCTGCACATTGCAGGATGTGGTGAATATTGCTAGGTGTTCACCAACATCTGTTCTCCCTTGCTCCCAGGGCACAGGCCTGAACTACGTTTCCCAGTTCCTCCCCCAACCCCTGGAATCAGGCACAGCTACGTGACTAAGTTCGCTCCAACTGAGTGGAAGTGAAAGAGTTGGGAACTGCTTCTGGAGCTAAGCCTTGAGACTGTGGGCTGGCCCTGCTGGGCTCCTTTTTCCACTTCTTGTGAAGGCCTGAGGGGCGGTGGAGCAACACCATGGAAAGAATCCGGGCCCTGAATAACAGCATGGAGTGGAGTCACCCACCCACCTGGTACATACATTACACAATCAGTGAAAAAGAAATAAATGTCTATCTCCTTTGAAGCTACTCAATTATCATTATGTCCCTTTGTTACGAGAACCTGGCCTTACCTTTGCCAACAGTGTTTTTCCCACCTATTATAATGCCTGGCACAAATTGGGTACTCAATAAATAAATGATGTCATTGCTGCTGCTGTTACCACTACTGCCACACCTACCATGCAAAGCAGTTCCCTTCTTACACACATTGAAGGTTCCACGGCCACAGACACAAACTGCTGCCCTTAGCTACAGAAAGGAAAGTTAATGAAATGAAGATGGCTCTGGAGGAAAACAAAATCAAAACTTTCAACTCTAGAAGAAATAGCTTAAAGCACATGCCCTATTGAAGGACAAACACTTAGCTAAAACAGCCATCATCATTGTTGCTTTTGTTAGGTATTATGTTTTTGAGGTTATAGCAGGAAAGCTTATAGACACAGCACAAGAAGGAAATTTAGGAAGGCATATAATCGGGGTGTCCATGTTATACACAGGGTGTTCACCCAATCTGCAAATGTTTATTAAACTATTCACCAAATATTTGTGAAACCAACGAGGTACCAGGTATTTGCTAAATGGAGGTACAGATAATAGCCTCACCCTCAACTTTCACAGGAGTTTTATCACAAAAAAAATCAAATGAAAATAAGTAGCTTATTGTGTACATGTGACAAGGGAAAAAGGAGAGGAACAAAACCTACCCATGTTGTGAGGCTGCACGAGAGAGCAAACATACCAAAGAATCTTGCTTTATTTTCTCAGCGAAAAGAGTTCTAGTGCACCCATCAGTTGCTCTTGTAACCAGACACTGTCCAAGGAGCATCAGACCATCCCAACTCAAGAACAAATGTCCCAGTTAGCCATGGCTAAAGAACACTTCCCTTAATAACGTCTTTTGATCGGCACGAGGAAATCTACCTATATGAGTACTTTTTTGGGGGGTTCAGTGAGTCACTCACAGACCTATTTCTCACCAAGTCATTCGGAAACGTAAATGTCCAGAAAAATAAATTTTAAATATGATAGGACTTCCTGGATGTTAAATTCAATTTCAGAGTATTTTCTCATATGAGAGTCATTTTGTAAAATAGACTTTTGCATTTTAACAAAATCATCATCATTAATACCTATGCTTATAGGTCTAAACAGTTTCAATCAAGTCACAAACTAAATCAGGCTGCCCTTCCTCCAGACCCTGACTTGCTAACAGATGCCACTATCTGTTCAGGCACCCTCCTTTCCTCTTCCCACCTCTCTCAAAGCCACTCCCACTGTGAGTATCCTCACTCTGACACTTGTGTACTGGAAGATGATTTTTCAATGAGAAAAAATCTCTCTTTAAATGACATTTTTCAAATTTAATATGACTAAGTTCTGCCCCCAAACCTACTCCTTAGATGGGAAGATTCATTCCCATCTGAGAGATGACAGTATTTATTTTTCTCTAATACATGAGCAGTATTATAAAACCTTCCCCCATTTCTCCCCAATCCATGTCATCCAGTCTATCAGAGTCATGACAATTCTGACCCCAGAATGTATCTTGAATCTATTTCATTTTTCCCATCTCCTACATCTCCTATGCCAACCTCCTAAAGCCATCGTCTCCGGCCCAGGGAAAGCCATCGTCTCCGGCCCAGGGAAAGCCATCGTCTCCGGCCCAGGGAAAGCCATCGTCTCCGGCCCAGGGAAAGCCATCGTCTCCGGCCCAGGGAAAGCCATCGTCTCCGGCCCAGGGAAAGCCATCGTCTCCGGCCCAGGGAAAGCCATCGTCTCCGGCCCAGGGAAAGCCATCGTCTCCGGCCCAGGGAAAGCCATCGTCTCCGGCCCAGGGAAAGCCATCGTCTCCGGCCCAGGGAAAGCCATCGTCTCCGGCCCAGGGAAAGCCATCGTCTCCGGCCCAGGGAAAGCCATCGTCTCCGGCCCAGGGAAAGCCATCGTCTCCGGCCCAGGGAAAGCCATCGTCTCCGGCCCAGGGAAAGCCATCGTCTCCGGCCCAGGGAAAGCCATCGTCTCCGGCCCAGGGAAAGCCATCGTCTCCGGCCCAGGGAAAGCCATCGTCTCCGGCCTAGGGAAAGCCATCGTCTCCGGCCCAGGGAAAGCCATCGTCTCTGGCCTAGGGAAAGCCATCGTCTCTAGCCTAGGGAAAGCCATCGTCTCCGGCCCAGGGAAAGCCATCGTCTCCGGCCCAGGGAAAGCCATCGTCTCCGGCCCAGGGAAAGCCATCGTCTCTAGCCTAGGGAAAGCCATCGTCTGTAGCCTAGGGAAAGCCATCGTCTCCGGCCCAGGGAAAGCCATCGTCTCCGGCCTAGGGAAAGCCATCGTCTCCGGCCCAGGGAAAGCCATCGTCTCCGGCCCAGGGAAAGCCATCGTCTCCGGCCCAGGGAAAGCCATCGTCTCCGGCCCAGGGAAAGCCATCGTCTCCGGCCCAGGGAAAGCCATCGTCTCCGGCCCAGGGAAAGCCATCGTCTCCGGCCCAGGGAAAGCCATCGTCTCCGGCCCAGGGAAAGCCATCGTCTCCGGCCTAGGGAAAGCCATCGTCTCCGGCCCAGGGAAAGCCATCGTCTCTGGCCTAGGGAAAGCCATCGTCTCTAGCCTAGGGAAAGCCATCGTCTCCGGCCCAGGGAAAGCCATCGTCTCCGGCCCAGGGAAAGCCATCGTCTCCGGCCCAGGGAAAGCCATCGTCTCTAGCCTAGGGAAAGCCATCGTCTGTAGCCTAGGGAAAGCCATCGTCTCCGGCCCAGGGAAAGCCATCGTCTCCGGCCTAGGGAAAGCCATCGTCTCCGGCCCAGGGAAAGCCATCGTCTCCGGCCCAGGGAAAGCCATCGTCTCCGGCCCAGGGAAAGCCATCGTCTCCGGCCCAGGGAAAGCCATCGTCTCCGGCCCAGGGAAAGCCATCGTCTCTAGCCTAGGGAAAGCCATCGTCTGTAGCCTAGGGAAAGCCATCGTCTCCGGCCCAGGGAAAGCCATCGTCTCCGGCCCAGGGAAAGCCATCGTCTCCGGCCCAGGGAAAGCCATCGTCTCCGGCCCAGGGAAAGCCATCATCTCTAGCCTAGGGAAAGCCATCGTCTGTAGCCTAGGGAAAGCCATCGTCTCCGGCCCAGGGAAAGCCATCGTCTCCGGCCTAGGGAAAGCCATCGTCTCTAGCCTAGGGAAAGCCATCGTCTCTAGCCTAGGGAAAGCCATCGTCTCTAGCCTAGGGAAAGCCATCGTCTCCGGCCCAGGGAAAGCCATCGTCTCTAGCCCAGGGAAAGCCATCGTCTCCGGCCCAGGGAAAGCCATCGTCTCCGGCCCAGGGAAAGCCATCGTCTCCGGCCCAGGGAAAGCCATCGTCTCCGGCCCAGGGAAAGCCATCGTCTCTAGCCCAGGGAAAGCCATCGTCTCCGGCCCAGGGAAAGCCATCGTCTCTAGCCCAGGGAAAGCCATCGTCTCTAGCCCAGGGAAAGCCATCGTCTCTAGCCCAGGGAAAGCCATCGTCTCTAGCCCAGGGAAAGCCATCGTCTCTAGCCCAGGGAAAGCCATCGTCTCTAGCCCAGGGAAAGCCATCGTCTCTAGCCTAGGGAAAGCCATCGTCTCCGGCCCAGGGAAAGCCATCGTCTCCGGCCCAGGGAAAGCCATCGTCTCCGGCCCAGGGAAAGCCATCGTCTCTAGCCCAGGGAAAGCCATCGTCTCTAGCCTAGGGAAAGCCATCGTCTCCGGCCCAGGGAAAGCCATCGTCTCCAGCCCAGGGAAAGCCATCGTCTCCGGCCCAGGGAAAGCCATCGTCTCTAGCCCAGGGAAAGCCATCGTCTCCAGCCCAGGGAAAGCCATCGTCTCCGGCCCAGGGAAAGCCATCGTCTCTAGCCCAGGGAAAGCCATCGTCTCCAGCCCAGGGAAAGCCATCGTCTCCGGCCTAGGGAAAGCCATCGTCTCTAGCCCAGGGAAAGCCATCGTCTCTAGCCTAGGGAAAGCCATCGTCTCTAGCCTAGGGAAAGCCATCGTCTCTAGCCTAGGGAAAGCCATCGTCTCCGGCCCAGGGAAAGCCATCGTCTCTAGCCTAGGGAAAGCCATCGTCTCTAGCCTAGGGAAAGCCATCGTCTCTAGCCTAGGGAAAGCCATCGTCTCCGGCCCAGGGAAAGCCATCGTCTCTAGCCCAGGGAAAGCCATCGTCTCTAGCCCAGGGAAAGCCATCGTCTCCGGCCCAGGGAAAGCCATCGTCTCTAGCCTATGTTATTGTGACACTCTTAACCTCATCTCATGCTTGACCCCTTGAATCCATTCTCTATATACTTCTCTAGACAGAATTAGAATCATCTTTTTACAAACATGAAGGATTCAGTCACACCCACATTTCAAACATTTCAATGGTTTTCTGCTACTTCAGAAGAAAATTGAAACTTCTTCAAATGGCCTAACACGGCTCCGCTTGATCCAGCCTCTACCACACAACAGCCATCCCCACTCTTCTAGCCTTGCTCCCTCATGGCATGGCTTTAAATGCCACCATTGGAGGAAGTCCATCCTTAATCACAAAACCGAAAGGAGGGGCCACGCACGGTGGCTCACACCTGTAATCCCAGCACTTTGGGAGGCTGAGGCAGGCAGATCACTTGAGGCCACGAGCTTGAGACCAGCCTGGGCAACATGGTGAAACCTCGTCTCTACTAGAAATACAAAAATTAGCCAGGTGTGGTGGTGCATGCCTGTAATCCCAGCTACTCTGGAGGCTGAGGCAGGAGAATTACATGAACCCAGGAGGTGGAGGTTGCAGTGAGCCGAGATCGTGCCACTGCATTCCAGCCTGGGTGACGGAGTGAGACTGTCTCAGAAAACAAAAAACAAAAAACCCCAAAACTTAAAAGATTCTCCCTTGCATGAGAATCTTATTTGCCCTCCACTTACCACCATTTATAATAATTCCTCTTTTTGTTTCCTTCCTGCCCTGTTATTAACACCTCTGAAGGTTGGCCCCATGCAGGGAACATACTACTTTTATAGTGCACTCGGCTGGCAAGCAGTCTTTCTTACTTTCTCTGTGTTGTGTCTATGTATACACAGCATATCTGTGAGGGAGATATTAATATTATTCCCATTTTACAGATAAAGAAGATGTGAAGCATATGGAGGCTAAGCCCCTCCCTCCATCAGGCCACAGAGCCAGGTGCAAGCCCAGTCTCACCCCAGCATCCTGGCTCCTGTCAGCTGTCGTTTATCATCACTATACACCAGCACGCCTGGCTCTTTGTAGGAGCTGAGTGAACATGGGCAGAAGGAATCGTGAAGTAAACGCTTCCAAGTCGGAACATCCAGAGACATTTGGTTCCTCTCTAGGTGCTCTTACCCATTCCTAGTTCTACTATTTATGCTGGGAGGCATCTTCTGTCCCTTACTAATTGATAAGTTCATCTAGGGCAAGAATCATGATTTATCCATCTTCGTGCCTCTCATGATACCCAACAGTAGGCGCTCAAAAAACTTTTCCTAGTGTGTGCAGGCATTTAAAACTCAGTAGAAATTAACCACAATTGCAATGAAGTAAAATTCAACTAAGAGTTCCCACAAAAAATAAGTACAACAGTCACCATTCCAGTCATTTATAGAGCTGATCTGAATCCAGAGGTAAGTTTCCAGAATTAAAGAGCTGTTTTATAGACTGCGTCTTTCTACTTCACGAGTGGGTAGAAATCATCTTTATTAGAAAAAAAATAAGTGCGGGAGGGCGGGGGGCAGAGAGAACTATTTCAAAAGGTTTTTCCCTGTTTGTCCTAAATCCTCCAGAGCAGGCAGTTAAACGTTGAGTCCAGCGTTTCGGAGCCTGGCCAGTCTATTACAGGCCTTGGTGGTGAAAGGCAGAGTGGCCTCATCCAAGCTTTGTCTCTCGTCAGCAATGCTACCTGTGCTGGCCTTTCCGCCTTACTTCCCAAACTCCTCTCCCATTTCTCATTTCTGCTCCCATTTCCCCTTGTTCCCTCCAACACTACGAAGGCAAATTATGGGGCTCAATACTGAGAAGTCCTTTCCACCTTATTGATAATGAATTTCTTTCCTGGGAAACACCTGGGAAAGAGACCAAAAATTCAGGACAGTACAGCCTAATCTGAGGTATCTGTCCATTCTTGGCAGGTATGCATTGCTAAAAGCATGTGACTACTACCGTATATCAGAGAGCCCTTTTATGGAACGTGGCTCTCTGCTCCATGAGTGGGTGGAAATAATATTTAGTGAAAAGAAGAGTCTCGGCATCTTAATGAAAGAAACCTAGATAGGAGATGAGTCATTTAAACCCTCTCTCTGTCATCACACAGAAATAGCTTGAAGAAAGAAGGAGTCAACTCAAATGCCCAAGGAGGGCAATGGCAACAGAGATTTGGGAATCTTTTCCAGGGTAAAAACAACTGGGATGGGCTAGGGGTGAATAAGGAAGTTCCATCCTGTCTAAAGGTGTCTGTTATGGGGTGAATTATGTTCCCTCCAATAAGATTATGTTGAAGTCTTAACCCCCAGTACCCTAAAATGTGACCTTATTTGGAAATAAAGTCACTGTAGATAGAATGAGTTAGGAAAAGATCACACTAGAGAGTAAGTAGGCCCGAAATTCAACATGACTGGCATCCCAGTAAGAAGGTGGCCATGAGAAGACAGACACAAGGAGAGTTCCACATGAAGACGGGGGCAGAGACTGGGGTGATGCAGGTACAAGCAGGGAACACCAAGGACAGCCTGCTGCCACCAGGAGCTACGGGAAAGAAACGGAACAGTCTGCCTCAGAAGGAGCTCACCCTGCCCACACGCCCTGATTTCAGACCTTTACCCTCAGAATTGTGAAAAAAATTTTGTTGTTTTAAGCTACCCTGTTTGTGGTATGTCACCATGGCCGTTTTAAGAATCGAATACAGCATCCCAATTCAGACTTAAAAAACGCAAGATGACCAAACCCAGCCCCGGCAGCTAGATGGTCTCTAATTCCAATGCTCACTATTCAGTGGGCAGTCACATTTCTGTCAAAAACAAAAATGCAGTTACAAAACATTTTCTGGCTAAACAATGCATTCTCCTGGATCTCACACATCAGAATTATCTTCCAGATCCCAGGGGTGAGAAGCGCAGCTTCTGCGTCAGACACCAGTCTAGTGGACATCGCACGCTAGCCCTGCCACTCGCCAGCTGTGGGGCTTTGGGAGCTCTGTGCCTCAGTCTCCTCCACCTATAAGTGGGAATGATAGTGAAGTCGGCCTCACAGATGAGGATGCAGGGCACACTGGGAAGCCTGCTGAATTACAACGAGGGGGAGAACTCAGCAACCCAAGCGGCATGATCTCTATCACAGGCTGCAGCACTGGATTTTACCTTACTGTGCATGATTTTTCATTTGCTTTACTGTGAACTCACCTAGGACGGGGTCCAGGCCTTGGTCACTTTTGCTCTCCTTGCACATGTGTGGCAGGTAGTCAGACATGCCTCGGGAATGAAGGCAGGAATGTACTTCATCGACTCCACTCCTGTGATGTGAGATCCCTGAGGGCAGGACCCAAGTCCTACATCAACCCTAGAGCCCAGCACCAGGTAAGAGGCCACACAGAGGGCAACGAAGTCATTGTGTTGGAAGGACGTCTGTAGATGTATTGCTCAACTCTGCCAAGCTAGCATGGGAGCAGGAATTAAATGCTTCATTCCAGTTTCAAGGTCTGAGTTTGTCTGTTTCCTTTCTGCTTATCACACACATGACATGTAGAACAAATTAGGGTGATGCTTCCTCACTGAGGCTTTTTGGGAAACCTATTAAACCAAGGTGGAAAAAATAATTCAAGAACATGACAAATGCAGCTGTCAGTAACTCTGCAACAGGCAGCAAATGCTGAGAAATGCACTTATTCTCTATGGCTGCCGACGTTGACTGGAAAGCTGCTTTGCAGTCTGGGAAACAAATCCCTACTCCAGACTGTATGATATGGATTCTGTCTCAGTGGATTGGCATTGTCTAGACTAGCAGTCAACAAACTACAGCCCATGGTACCTCGGCCACTGTTTTTGTAAATCAAGTTTTGTTGGTACTCGTCCCTGCCTTTCCAGTTATGTATTGCTTATGGCTGCTTTTGAGCTACAAGGCAGAGTAAAGCAGTTCTAAGAAAGACGGTATAGCCCAGAAAGCCTAAATCATTCACTATCTGACCCTTTAGAGAGAGGTCTGTTGATCCCTAACTTGGAGTATCCCACTGTGATTACACTTAAAATTAAGCTTGAAGAGGACAGAAACCTTGTTTATCTGGGTCAGACCTATCTAGACGATGACCTACCTGATTTATAGTAGGTGCTCAATAAGTCTGCAAAGAATAAACATGAGGCCAAATAAATATTGAGGTTTTAGGACAGGTAGTGCCAACAGCACACAGTGCTAAGGGGATGCCTGCTGGGCTAGACCAGTGTCCCGAAGCTCTGCCCTTTTTGAGAGGATGAGGATCTGCCACTGCTGGGTGTCCCTTGGTTAACTAGCTACCTGAGAGCCCTCTGGGAGCCCTGGGCTGCACAGACAACCAGGACATCTTCATTTTAAGAATTCAATAGCATTGAGCTGTCAGGACAGATTAAACCTGACTAAGAAGAACCTTTCAGAATCCTTCTATGTATATACATTTACATTAGAAATGTTTTAAAGGAATAAACACTTGCAAAGCGGTTTAAATTTAAAGGTTCCCTTATACAACTGAACCCAAAACAGCTGTCAGAAACCAAACATTTATAAATACAAATGCTCAAGGTACCAAGTGAAAAAAAGATTTTTAGATCTAAAAGAAAAAGTCCAATCTATCCTGCCATAACAAAAGCAAAGAAGGAAACAGAAAAGCCAGACTTTCTGAGAATGATCCTTTAATGTTAATACTGAAAGCATGTGTAAGTTCTGGCTCCAATAAAGTTGTTTATGGTTAGAGTTAAGTAAGAAGGGGTCCTTTAACTTGGGAAACGATTACATAGAACTTGTTGCAGAAAGAAAGAATTCCATACTATTTCTCTTTTTCTATTTTGTCCTCTCAAAGAACTGTTGCTTCCATGCATCAGGTCTTCAAACCAGGCTTGGGCAGGCGAGTCTCCCAGCCCTCCCTCCAGCCTGGCTCTGGGTGCAGACCCACGGTCATGGGGACCTTGAGCACGTGGGGTCTTCTTTTAGGAGGGTTTGTGGAACTGTAGCTCTTTACATAGCCCAGAGACATTCTCCCTTTAAAGTTTTTGGGTAATGCTCAATTCCATCTTTAAAGAGGTGGGAGTTTTAATAGCACAGCTGTAATAGAATCACATTTCGAGTTTTTGAGACAGGATCTTGTTCTGTCACCCAGGCTGGAGTGCGGTAGCATGATCACAGCTCATTGCAGCCTCCACCTTCTGGGCTTAAGTGATCCTCTGGTCTCAGCCTCTGGAGTAACTGGGACCAGCATGAGCCACTGCAGCTGGCTAATAGTTTTTTGTAGAGATGAAGTCTCACTATGTTGCCCAGGCTGGTCTCAAACTCCTGGGTTCAAACAAGTGTCCTACCTGGGCTTCCCAAAGTGCTGGGATTACAGATGTCAGTCACTACATCTGTCCCACATTTATATTTAAATAGAAGTAGCATCCTATAGTCTCAATTTCTGATCAAATGTGAAACAATCAAAATGTCAGTCTGAGAGTTGATCTAATATAATAGTAAAGGCTCACTTATAGGCTAAATACTTCCATCAAATAAATCTTAAAGTAACATTTTCTAATTCAGGTTTTGTTTTGTTTTTTACTAATCCCCTTCTAAACCCACTTAATTTGTATTTAATTCATATTCCCAATAATAAAATCAAGGAACTACGGAAACATTGCATATTCCACTAAACTGTGTTTACAATATTAACAAAATCTATTTACTCCATAGAATAAGCAAAAACTCAGACAAGAATTGACTCACTGGGTTCGCTTTGAGGACTGTTATATTCCATTTAGAGGTAGGATTTCCTTATTTCTTTCGTAGCCACACCTTTGGAGATGTGGCCAAGCATTCTTTACACGAAACAAGAAACACTTGCAAAGCGGTTCAAATTCAAAGGTTCCCTTATACAGTTGAATCCAAGACTGCTGTCAGAAACCAAACATTTATCAACGCAAATGCTCAAGGTACTGAGTGGAAAAAAGGTTCTTAGATCTAAAAAGTCCAATCTACCCTTCCATAGCAAGGAGCTGGGGCTCTGCATGATGGTAGATGACTTCCAACGTGATCTTTCCCCCCATGCTACCAGCTGAGAAGACCTCATACTGAAGGTCTTCACAGAGACAAGATGCCTCATCTCCCTGGCCTTATTTTGTGGCAGCTTTCGGGACATTGTTTTCAGTTATAACTTTTCAGACTCTTTCACCCCATGGGGGTTGTGTTCCCATATTAGAATTAATATAAATGCATTTTCATCAAAAGGAAAGAAAATAGAAAAAGAAAATTAATGACTAGTTACAGCAAATTCATTATTTCCCCTAAAAACTAAACACATCAAAATGCTGCTTCTTTATCCAAATTCTTCACCATATTGAAATCATGAAATGAAACGACAACCAGCTTTCATGACCAGCTAAGAAACGCATTTGATGAGATCAAAAGTCCAGCACGTGGCCCCCTGGGACCCACGACCAGATGCCCATGGCAGATTTTTAAATTGTTTGACTTTTCTTCTTAAAAATCTACGTCCTGTTTTGCTGTTGTTCATTTCAAACCTCCTGTGTGGGAGTGTTAATAAAATCTAACATCTGTAAATTTCTCATATTGGTTTGATGAATCCTTGCTCAAACATTCTCCTTTATTCTGGCTCTAAATGATGTGATCTCAGCCATCTCCTGAAAGTATCCAAAGATTAAGACAAAGATTTAAAAGCCCCATTGAAACCACAAACAAAAAGCCCCTGAACACCTCAAGACTGAGTCTCCCAACACAGGCTATGATGGAATCGTTTCGGTTTCAAGGAATCAGTAGCAAGAAGAACAGTCAGCTCCTGCTGAGAAAGGGCCAGGAGGAAGAGTGTAATGAGGGAGAGAATAAAGGTATGCTTCAGCTTAAAACTAATCATATTATAGGTCAATTAGAATGCAACATTTCCAAAACCTTAAATGTGTATTTCATTTGAGTAAACTCAATCAAGTCTACTCTTTTTTTTTTTTTTTTTTTAAATGGAGTTTCGCTCTTGTTGCCCAGGCTGGAGTGCAATGGCGCGGTCTCGGCTCACTGCAACCTCTGCCTTCTGGGTTCAAGCGATTCTCCTGCCTCAGCCACCCAAGTAGCTGGGATTACAGGCGCCTGCCACCACGCCCGGGTAATTTTTGCATTTTTAGAAACAGGGTTTCACCATGTCACCCAGGCTGGTTTCAAACTCCTGACCTCAGGTGATCCGTCCCGCCTTGGCCTGCCCATGTGCTGGGATTACAGGCATAAGCTACTGACCCAGCCCAACCCTACTCTCATCTCAGGATTCAATGGACAAAACTGCTTCCTAGTTCAAAAAGAAAAAGTATGTCATCAGGAACAAAGCCCATCAACTTCACAACCATGCAGCACAAATCTATTTGTGCCTGCGCCCGCAGAAGCACCTCCCCTCCTGTGCAAGGGCATGTGCACTCACCTGGGCCCTGGATCCCACTGTTCCTCTTCATCTAGGACAGGAGCTCTCCAGCTTGAGTGTGCGTGAGAATCACCCAGAAGGCTCATTGAAACACAGGCTGCTGAGCTCCAAACCCAGAGTTTCTAATTGAGTAATCTGAAGTAAGGACTGGTAATTTACTTTGCTAACAATTTCCAGGTGATGTTTTATGATCCCAGAGCAGACTCTGAGAACAACTAATCTAAGACCTGCTACACTGATTATCCTCTCATCCTACATTTTTGAGTCTCTCCTTTCATATTGCTTCTTTCCCTAAGCATATAAACATGTTCAAATTTGTCATCTTAAAACATAAACAAAAGTCTCCCTGACCTCCCTGGGAATGTAGTGTATTTCTCTTTCCTTCTGTACACATGTAGGTTCTTAAGAGAATGTTCTCCATACACCACTTCCATCCGACTTCTCCTTGCTCTGTAATCTATTTGCCCTCTCAACTCTGCTGAATGTGCACATCTCACGACCCCACATGAACTTAACAGTTTCCAGGCCAATGGATACTTCTTAAGTCCCTGTTTGACTCTCTGCCTTACCTACCATCGCTCACCTGACCACACAGCATTCCCTCCTCCCTTGGATTTTATAACCTCTCCCTATCCTGGATCTCCTACCACCTCCTTCACTGCCTCCCTTTTGGTCTCCCGTCCTGGAATATCTGCTTTTCACCATCCCTATAAGTGCTGGGGATCCCTTGGGACCTGTCCTTGGCTCTCGTCTTCTGATGCCATACATTTTGCCTGAGAGTTCTCATCCATGCCTGTCTTTCACCTATAATCTATATCCTAATGGCTCTCAAATCTAGACTTCTCTTCTAAACTTCAACTACATAGAATGATCATCAATTAGACAATTATATTTGTCCAATAGGCATCTCAAAGTTATCAATACTTAAAAGTGAACCCATTAATTTCTACCTTGTTCCTGTTCCCCTTCCTTTATTTTTTACCTAACAAAATGGCTCCTCCAACTGCTCACTCATGCAAACCACCTTTATGTCCTTAAGGAAAAACATGTCCTTACGTCTCAAGCACAATCACAGTTCAGAGGTGGGTCCAATCCACCTCTTAACTGTCTCAAATCTGCTCCCTTATTCCCGTCTCCAAGACTGTTGCTCCAACTTCGGTCAACATCATAATACTTGGTTCTTCCCTTTCTTAACTGCATTTCTAGTCACCTCCTTCTCATATTTTAAGCTCCAATAACACCAAAAACTAGTTAATGATATCTTTGAATGTGGCATGCTCTCTTACAATGGAAAACTTCTATATATTTTATTCCCTCTGCTTGGAAAATTATTAAAATCCCTGCACCAACATGTTCTTTCCAAAACCTTCCCAAATGTTCTTGACTTTGGACTCCTTTCTGGCTCTCATTCCACTTGAAACCTGCCTCCATTACAGCAATTACCTGTTTCCAAGCCTAACACTGCGCCATTCAAAGGTAAATCCTTGAATTCCTAGTGCTGATAATACCTGGCTCAAAATAGGAGCCCTACTAAAAAGTACTTTTATACAACATACATCAGTGATTCTGAACAAGGAAACACACTCCCCTGGCAGTAGAGTAAGCGAGTCTACCAAACATTTTAGGATCGTTTTTAGCGTTTAATTCTCCTCCTACAGAATTTTAGATAACTAACATCACATTTATTTCATCTCAACTTTAACATGTTTCATCTCTTGTTTACTTCATTTCTTCAAGGAACTGAGAGAGGACCCACTGAAATTCAGTTTGGGGATGTTAGGAACCTGTTGGAAGATTTTCTGGAGAAGTTTTCTCATTACAACAGTGTTTCCTTTCTAGTCATTAGAAGAATGAAGGGAGCTGAGGGAAGCAGATACTTGAGAGTTTTACATTTTCTGTACCTCAGTTTGTTCTCTACCATTTCAGTAAAAGACAGCTACTCCCAAATACATTTTTGCTGTATGCAACTGTGCTGTTATTCCTGTAGCTGGTCCAAGTTTTATAGATTACTCACACAGCCCCCTAGTGAGCCCAGCTGCTTTTATACTATTATGATGCCATAAACAAAATTACATAACATTTTAAGGCCAGTAATAAATGCCTGAACTAGCTGACTGGAACATGTAGCATTTGGGCATTTTCATGGTCTTCAGTGACGGTTTTACTGCCCTGAAAAGCCCTCCCTGTACGTTATCAAAGAACAGGAAGTCTCCATGTCTCCACTCTCGGTTGTTCCAGCCTAAAGGTGACCCACCCACGCCCACATGCAAGGCTGGCAAGAACGGGTCATCGTCAAAGAGAATATGCTAAGTGCATTGAAACAGGCTGTGTACAACCTTCATCAAGCTTCAAGTAGTTAAAATCGTGCCTTACAAGTATTTTTAAAGAAAACTGGTATAGGTGGATACAGCAAATAAACATGTATTTGAAAATCCAGAGACAAATATAAGTAAAACTTGATGAACATATTTGCATTTTATGTAAATGTCAATGTACATGTTGTGGAACAACTTGGCTCTCTGCTGGAGAGCATACCTCCTTTTAAATGAGTCACCACTTGCGGATGAATAGGAAAACGCTGACAGATCCATGCGAGATAAAACGGATCACAGCAGTCTTGGAATCAACACACTTTTATGATGAAACCAACTCATATTCATGCCTCCAAACACAGCTTAGGCTTGAAACCAAGTTGCAGAACGTCCAAAAATTCTTGAAGAATCCAGATGTTCCCATAATCAGCCACTGATCAATTTCCCAGGAGAAAAGGACTTAAACAAGGATGGGAAATTCCAAGACGTTTAATACCCAGAGGATATCTGCACCCAGAGAAATGTCACACTCAGACCACAGGAAGCTATAGCTCTGCTGTTGACTGATGTAGTCAGGTGTCTAGAATTTTATGCCAGCCTCTACCCACTACACACCATTACTGTTTTGAGATAAATTAGCAAACACCAAAAATTAGAGGTAAAAAAGATCTAGAAAAAAAACAATTGAAACGAACTAAAGAAGCCAGAGCCAGGGAGGTTTAACAATCATTAGTAACAGGTGATATCCACTGAAACTTTTCCATGTTCTTCCAGCTTCACGCTAAGAACTTCACGTTTTCTTAACTTATTCCTCACAACGATTTTTAATTTAAATTGATTATTCCCACTTTATAAATATGAAAACTAAGACTTAGCAATATTAAGAGATTTACCCAAGGCACACGACTTATCAACAGTGGAGACGGAATCTGAACTCAGTCTTTCTGATTCCAAAGTCCCGGCACTTAAGCACCACACTGGAGCCTGAAGCAAAGGCTCATGGGTGACCCCAGTCTTAAACATCTGAGGGTTTGTAACATGGAAGACAGAACAGCTTCGTTGTATTCTAAAGCAGGAGTCCTCCAAACCTGTTTGTACTGGAGAATCATCTCTGAAACTTAAAAAGAAAAAAGAAAATCCAGTTTCTACGGTCCCACTCACAGACTCTGCTTCAGCTGATCTGGCATGGAGGCCAGAAAACTGTATTTTTATAATGCTCTGCTGGGTTTGAGAATCACCGCTCCATACCTCAGAACTAGAATAAACGCAGAGGAATCACTAGGAGGCAGGTTTGGCTTTACGTTATTAAACAGACAAACCAAACCAAACACACACACACACACACACACACACACACACACCGCCACCCACAAACCAGTCCTAACCACAGGGCTACACAAGCCTCCCCTGCCCAGTCCTAACCAACAGAGCTTCCCAAATGGAGCTGTAGCTGCCTGCTCAAGCGCCACGATATAATGGAGACAACCCAGTCTCTGGAAACAGAGGCTGCCATTTCCAGTTCTGATTCAGCCATTCTCAGGTGTGTAGCTCTGGTCAAGTTATTTTCTCTGAGTCTCAGTTTGCTCAACTGGAAATTATTGGAGAACACTTACCTCAAAGAATTGTTAAGAATTAGAGACAATTAGGTAAAATTCAAAGAACCGTGGCTGATGTGGCTGATGGTGCTCATAAGCAAACGGCACCTGCCCACTTGAAATGTAACCATCTTCTTCTGTAGCTTCTGTAGCGAGCCTCTGCATGTGGACAGCGTGGGCCGCCTCTGCAGCACCCTTCCCCTTATTCCCACCATTGTCCCACCCACTGACATGGCCACGTCCTATTGGCTTCAAGCCCAGATTTTAGCAATGGGCTCTGACTGGCCTAATCCAATCAGCCCACACCTGGCCCCCTTGCCACAGCCATAGGCAGGGACCAGAGCCCAGGCCAATCAGCAGATGGTGTTCCTCTGGCAGAGAACGGTTTGGGAGGAGGCTGAGCATGTGTCCAAAATTGGGCCAATCAGAGTGAACTCAAAGGCTTTTTTTGTCAGTAGGAGGAAAGGGAGTATCTCCTCTTCCAGAATGTATGACACATCAGCCTGAGAGCTGACGCTCAGCAGCCATTCTGCTACCAAGAGCCTTTATCAAACTATGTCTGAAGCCTGGGCTATCTCCATATTTTTGAGATCTGTGAACCAATAAATTCCCCGTATCATATTATTTAAGCCTTGAGGTTGTTTTTCTATGGCCAAGGCTGAACACATTGTAACTTATCCAGAATCCCCTGGCTGGGAGTGGTGAGATGTAACCACTTAGATCATTTCTAACTTCATGATTCCATGACTTCTTAGACTTTATCCAATTAATACCTGTCTTCACATTTATAACACTTCTGACGACTGGTTTCTGCAGCCTGGAACATCCTGTCCCCCTTTCTCTTCTTAAGAAATCCTGCTCACCTTTTAGGACCCAACTGAAATGGGTCCACTGCTGCAAGATCTTTGAAGAGGAGTCAGTTAATCCATCTTCCTGTGCACTCCCCCAGTACTTGACCATTTCCTCTCTTATCCTTAATTTCATTGTGTACTTTTCTCACTCCTATCTTCACCTATGTTTAGGCTGTGTGCACTTTGAAGACAACACCCCCTTCCCTAGGCATTACTTGTTAACAGGCCAACTGTGCAGCAAAGTAGCACAAATCCAGCTTGCTGCACATGTCCAATGCCTAAGATGAGGCTGGGCCTGCAGCAGGCTTGCAAGAAACAACCACTCATTCATTCAATGCCACATGAGTGGTTAACTGGATACAAAGGAGAAGCAAACACAACGAAGGCTTCTGCCTTAACCTTCTAGGTGTCCTACCTTGTACCTTGAAGGGATTAGAGAGAAAAACATTCTCCATCTTGCACTGCTGATTTCCAATGACAAGTGGGGCTTCCCCCCTCCCACAGAGGATTACAGGCCAACTTGGGTATGGTAGGGTTTTGGGGACTGGAGGTGGTTTAGAGTTTTTTCCAATCTTATTAAACTTACTCAGAGCTTAACATCTATTAATGAAATTATGTTTTCTATAATAAAAGTAGAGACTCAAATCCTATAGATGCCCTGACCTTAAGATATAAAAATTCAATTTTAAAAAATATTACACATACCAAATACAAAAGATCTATTCTGTGACCTCTTCTCTAACACCAACAACTGTAAATTTAATATCATCCTGTGTTACCTGAGGTAGTTGGAAGGTGTTTCTTCTACGTTTGTTGTATCTAGCTTTTTCTTTTCAGATTTTATTATTTATTTATTTTTGAGACAGGGCCTCAGTCTGTGGCTCCCAAGCTGGAGTGCAGTGGTGTGATCATGGCTCACTGCAACCTTGACTTCCTGGGCTAAAGTGATCCTCCCGCCTCATCGTCCTGAGTAGCTGGGACCACAGGGATGTAGCTGGGACTACAGGCCTGCACCACCACACCTGGACAATTTTTTATTTTTTGTAAAGACAGGGTCTCACTATGTTGCCCAGGTTAGTCTCAAACTCCTGGGCTCAAGCAATCCTCCCGCCTGGGCATCCCAAAGTGCTGGGATTATAGGCATGAGCCACCATGCCTGGCCAGCTTTTTCTTTAAGTGAGAAAAATGGTGAGAGAGAACTGTCTCCTACTCCTACTTCCTTTTGGTCACACAGCTATCTCGACCTTGAATAAAATTTCTGGATCTGACATGGTTTCAGTGGCTGCAATGAGAAAGGAAGTATACAGCACAAACTAGGAGTAGATTTGTTATTCATACTCCAACACCTGATTACCTTCTCAAAAACCAGGGTATTTCCTGCAACCCAGATTCCTCATTGACAGGAATCATCTTGGTCTGAAGGAAGGGATCAGGAGCCAAGAAATAAGAGTGGCCTCTAGAAGCTGGAAAAGGCAAGGAAGCAGATTCTCCCTAGAGTGTCCAGAAGGAGCCGGCCCTGCCAACAATCTTGAATTTTAGTCCAGTGGGACTCATGTCGGACTTTGGACCTACAGAGCTGTAAGATAACACGTGTGTGGTTTTTAAAGCCATTGATTTGTGGTAATTTGTTATGACAGAAACAGAAAGTGAGTGCACTGACTTCCCTGTACCAGTGACCACTAACTGGCATCTACACTAGTCCCTTTCCAAACAGTAGTGCTGTTTAAAAAAATTGTTATGTTTATCAACATGAAGCATCATAAGAAGTCACAATCGTAAGTTGAAGTCAATTAGAAAAAAGAAAATTCTAACAATTACCAAAGATCCAAACAAGAAAAATTCAGTATCAAACATTCCTCTTATATTCACAAAAGAGACCTGAATACACACATGCTTTAACTAAAATGATTTCTTTCCTATATGTGGAAAAAATGCACTTATTCATTAATTCAACACATAATTTACAGAGCCTCTCCCACCTGCCAGGCACTGTGAAGAATCCTGAGGGTTTCCTGCCATCTATCTGAGCCAGGGCAGGTGTGGAAAAAAATTTTCACATTAGTTCATTAATGGTAAAATAGGAAAAAGGAATAGAGCCACAGCTTAAAAGTTATGTCGTTATAGACAGAGATACCAGCAGAGAACTAAGCCACGTGCATTTGTTATCTGTTTCTGAGCAGCTTAAAGCAACCAGCTAAGTGACTTCACACAGTTCTGAGGGTCAGGAATCCAGGAGTGTCTTAGCTGCCATGGTTCCGCCTCAGGGTGTTTCAGGAGGTTGCAGTCAAACTGTCAGCCAGAGCCACAGTCAACTCAAAGATGGACAAAGGCTGGGGCATCTAAGCTCACTCCTGTGGTTGCTGGGGAACCTCAGTCACTCCCCGGCTGTTTGCCAGGGGCTTGGGTTACTTGCCAGGAGGGCTTCCCCTTAGAGCTGCTACAAGAAGGCAGGTGGCTTCTTCCCAAGTGACCCGAGAGAGAGATTCTGACCAAAACAGAAGCCAATGTGTTTTACAACTGAACCCCAGAAACGGCCTGCCGTCATTTCTATCATATTCTATTGGCCACACACACCAACTTACAACTGAACCTCAGAAACGGCCTGCCGTCATTTCTATCATATTCTATTGGCCACACACACCAACTTACAACTGAACCTCAGAAACGGCCTGCCGTCATTTCTATCATATTCTATTGGCCACACACACCAACTTACAACTGAACCTCAGAAACGGCCTGCCGTCATTTCTATCATATTCTATTGGCCACACACACCAACTTACAACTGAACCTCAGAAACGGCCTGCCGTCATTTCTATCATATTCTATTGGCCACACACACCAACTTACAACTGAACCTCAGAAACGGCCTGCCGTCATTTCTATCATATTCTATTGGCCACACACACCAACTTACAACTGAACCTCAGAAACGGCCTGCCGTCATTTCTATCATATTCTATTGGCCACACACACCAACTTACAACTGAACCTCAGAAACGGCCTGCCGTCATTTCTATCATATTCTATTGGCCACACACACCAACTTACAACTGAACCTCAGAAACGGCCTGCCGTCATTTCTATCATATTCTATTGGTCACACACACCAACTGTGATGCAGTGTGGGAGGGGAGTGCCCAAGGGTGTGAACCTCGGGATGCAGGAATCATTGGGATCAGGTTGAAGCCTGACTACCACACCATGTTCTTCCAAAACATTTCAACAAAGGAGCCATGTAGTAAAATCAGCATGGTTCTAGAATGGCAGTCATGGGGCCTGGAGTAGCCATGGATCGGCCACTTCTAGAATGGCGGTCATGGGGCCTGGAGTGGTCATGGATCGGCCACTTCTAGAATGGCGGTCATGGGGCCTGGAGTGGTCATGGATCGCCCACTTCTAGAATGGCGGTCATGGGGCCTGGAGTGGTCATGGATCGGCCACTTCTAGAATGGCGGTCATGGGGCCTGGAGTGGTCATGGATCGCCCACTTCTAGAATGGCGGTCATGGGGCCTGGAGTGGTCATGGATCGGCCACTTCTAGAATGGCGGTCATGGGGCCTGGAGTGGTCATGGATCGGCCACTTCTAGAATGGCGGTCATGGGGCCTGGAGTGGTCATGGATCGGCCACTTCTAGAATGGCGGTCATGGGGCCTGGAGTGGTCATGGATCGGCCACTTCTAGAATGGCGGTCATGGGGCCTGGAGTGGTCATGGATCGGCCACTTCTAGAATGGCGGTCATGGGGCCTGGAGTGGTCATGGATCAGCTACTCTACAATCTATCAAGGCCTCGGTTTCCAAAGCCGCAAAATGACAATGGAGTCCCATCTATTAATAAAACTTTGGGAGGTAGAAGGGCTGCTGCTTCTGCACTCAACGTTTACTGGGTGTTCATCATGTTCCAGATACTGTTTGAAGCGTTACACCCTTATTAACTCACTTTCTTCTCATCATAACCCTCTGAGGTGGTTACAATGTTCACTGCTGTGTAAGAGCTGAGAAGACTGAAGCAAAGAGAGTTCATCCATTTGCCAAAGCCTCACCATTAGTAAGAGGTAGTCAGGATTCGAACCTAAGTGGTTTGGCATCTAAGTCCACATTATAACCCACTGTACTCTCTAACAGAGGGTATGGAAATGATGCAAGTCAGTACACTATAAAATCATCAGCAATACTAAACTTTAAAAGAAGAAACCACGTTTAAAAAATTGGTTAAAAAATAGGAGCCAAGCATGGTGGTGCTCACCTATAATCGCAGCTACTAGAGAGGCTGAGGTGGGAGGATCACTTGAGCCCACGAGTTCAAGACCAGGCTAGGCAACATAGCAAGACGTTGTCTCAAAAAAAAAAAAGATAGATAGATAGATAGATAGATAGATAGATAGATAGATAGATAGATAGATAGACAGACAGACAGACAGACAGACAGACAGACAGATATAGATTCCATTTACATGAGGGACCTAGAGTGGTCAAACTTATAAAGACAGAGGGATGGATGCCAGGGCTGGGGGAATAGGGAATGGGGAGTTAAAATTTAATGGGCATTGAATTTTAGTTTGAGATATTGAAAAAGTTCGGGGGATGGATGGTGGTGATGGTTTCACAACAGTGGGAATGTATTTAATGTCACTGAACTATACACTTAAATGATTTAAATGGTCATTTTTATGTTATGTATATCTTACCACCATAAAAAGAAGACATTAAACTACAATATCCAATATTCCATCCAGGGGCTTCCTCAAAATGGAAAATCCCCATGGTTAATCGCTTTAGATGCATAGAAAATCGTTCCGTTCTAAGGTGTAGGAAGAAATCCAAAAGGACTTGTCTTTTCTGGTTGGTCCATCATCGCTCTCTCAACTTCTTTTCATTGCACTTTTCATTACAGAAATAAAATAAAATGTCGGAAGAGTTTCTGTTACTCTTATCTTTCCCAAGTCACATTAAGTAGGAATTTTTAATTTAAGTGCATTCCATTTCTAAAGCCAGGAAAATCTGCCCACACGAGGTGCTTCATAGCATACACATTAGGAACTCCTCTATGGTTCTCATTATTTACACCCTTCCTCGGATGTGCCCTGTGTGTTTTGAGAGTCAGAGATTGGCCCGACAAAATGAAAGCGAAGGCGTCAGCTGAGAGGGACGCGGGGCTTTAGGTAAAGGACACACGATGAGAGGCCCTGGCCATCGGGTTACTGTTGTCCACGTGTCGGATGGCTAGAGACGCTGTGAGAGTTACTCTCTCTAGAGGTCAGCACTTTGGATGCCCTCACCCTCTGAAATAAGCATTTTCTCCCGGGACATCAAGGAGCTGGGGACTCCAAGCATTTTCCTCACCACTCTGGTCATCTCCCACATTTAGGAGGAAAGTTCTACTTCCATGAGGCCTTTGCTTGCCTCATTTCAGAAATAGGGGAGGGCCTTCTCATAAAATGACTTTTTATGCCTTAGTTAAGAGCATATGTTTAATTTACCACTCACTTCCCTCTCATTATCCATCTATGTGCGGATCACAGTACTAGGTGGTATGAAGTGAGACTGAGAAAGTAAGAGATGAAGAAACTTAAAAAAAAAAAGCTGTAAAAAGGACACAGGTAAAATCTAACCTTCGGCTGGGCGCAGTGGCTCACGCCTGTAATTCCAGCACTTTGGGAGGCCGAGGTGGGTGGATCACAAGGTCAAGAGATTGAGACCATCCTGGCCAACATGGTGAAACCCTGTCTCTACTAAAAATATAAAAATTAGCTGAGGGTGGTGGCATGCGCCTGTAGTCCAAGCTACCCGGGAGGTGGAGCTTGCAGTGAGCCGAGATTGCGCCACTGCACTCCAGCCTGGTGACAGAGCAAGACTCCGTCTCAAAAAAAAGAAAAAGAAAATCTAACCTTCGAAGAAATGGAATGATTAAGACACATGAATAAATAAAACACCACTTACCTAGAAGTTTCTAATGTCCAGTAAACAAATTGTCATGCTTGTTAAAGTTACATATCACAGGTGGCTTCATAAGCCTCAGGACAACCTGAGAAGCAGCCCTGTGCTACACGGAAGTCATGGGACTAGAGTAGAAACAACTAGGTCCAAACCCTGAATTCCGCATTAATTCATTTGTTGATTACGACGTCCACCCATATGACAAGTATTTAGCCTAAGTCTGTTTATACACCTGAGAAATGGAGAACAGTAACAAATGCCTGAGGGTGCTATAAGGATTAAACAGGTAATTTATGCCAACGTGTTTGGTAAATATTTACAGATGATACAATTATGAACTGTAGGGCTGGATGATATTTCAAGATATCAATTTGTGCTCTTCTCTTTGCATTGCCTTTCTTTTTCTCCCACAGATCAGACTCTGCTCAGTGCCTCAGGGGAGGCATGTGGCAGTAGAGAAAGCAGAAACCATCTGCAAAATCTGGGATGCAGTAGGGGGTGGGGGAGAGACTAATGCAGCCTGCAGGGCTGACGGAGCAGGGGCCTAGGCCCCAGTTCTAAGCAGGGCTGCCACCCAGAAGCACAACTTCCCCAGGAGGGGGATTTGGATAGACAGAGACACATGCAACTCCTGAGTCCTATGTGTGGCAAGGATGCATCAGAGAGCCAATAGACATGCACAGGGGGCAGGCCAAGAGAGCCATGCCCCTAACAGCTTGGTCCTGGGGATGAGCCCAGAACCCTGAGAAGGGAGATGAAGTTTTCCACCACACCAGTGGAAAGACAATCAGCCAGAAATTGGGCAGATGTATAGAAAAAAAAATGAAATGTTATTTTTGGCACATTAGAGTTTGGGGACTGAGTTTTATACCCATTATAATATTTAACTTCCCAACACCTAAAATCCTCCTGGCAGTTAACAACGAATGCCCAATGGAAGAAATGTTTCTTGTTTAATTTCATAAATACATATAGAGAAGCCATCTTCTCTGACTAAAAAGACCACAGATTGTGCTGCTCTAATGAAAAGAGCATTGGCAGGGCATAAATTCTGAAACGATTTTCTATATGTTGCTAGCCACATAGAGGATGCTAAATAAAAAGCTGTTGGCTGATGGGTGACAAATTGTCCAGGGCAGCTCATAACTTCCCTAGACTCTTGAGATCAATGGCACACACCTGCCAACCAGTGGGCTGGGATTAGGGGTATAATGTGTTGTGATGAATGGACCTTTTCTCCATGCAATGCTAATGGGTTTATATAGAATAGAATTCATGATACAGGTGTTATTTTAAACACTGTGCTCTAACCCCTTGAAAACTGAACAAATAGACACATACTCATTAGGCCAGGACCACATCTATCAAGTTACCTAATGCATTCCCAGAGCCTAGAAGACTACTAGGCACAGAGTAAAAATTCAGTAACTATCTGGTGAATGTTAACTCACAGAAGACACAATACTGCCTCTAACTTCACCTATGAAATGCAAAGTAGAGGCGTAACTCCAACAAATAAAGCCAAGCCCAGTATTTAAAAGCCCAAAACAAATGAAGTGCAACAACAGAACAAGAGCTGGCTAGCTTTCCAGTGTCCCCATCCAAACTAGGGACACCTACAGAAACACAGAAAGTTCAAAGCCTATGGGAGGGGAACGTGGGGGAGGGAGAGGGACTTATTTACCAGCCCCAGCTTTACACTTCCTCCATCTCCTCCTCTTCTTTAGCAAGATGCCTCTGTGCTTTCCATGAAGAAGTCGGCCCCAGAACATGACCTGCATCTCAGAGAAGTTCTGATTTATGAATTGGCACTGAGGCGACGTCGCTGGTGCGGAACACCATGACGTCTGTGTCTAGGGTATGCGCATATGCTGCGTTTTTCCGCAGGTGCCTCGCAGTCTGCTCTGGCTCTTAGGGCTTCCGAACTCAGTTCAGGGCATGGATTTTAATTAACGAAATGAAACACTGGCCCTACACGACGGGACACTTAATGAATTTATTTAATGATGCCAAATATGGGGAACCCCTTTAGGGAGAGAAGCAAAAGGAACAGGAGAAAAAGATCAATTTGTTAAAAGACAGTCAAAGCAACTGAGTGTTACTCTCAGACAGGGGGGATGTCAACTGGGGAGTGATCCCCAGAAAATCAACTTCATTGTGAAATCAGAAGTACGAGCATCTTTCTTTCAACTGGAATTCATTGAGCATCTACTGAGCTGCTATTTCAGCACGCTTGCTGCTGGGAGACACAGAAGACATCCTTCCTCCTCAACATGCTTCTGATAGACATTATTAAGAAAAACTATTTTTTTGGCTAGCAATGCAGTTTCACCTCACATGATTTCACTTCCTTGGAGCCGTGAATCAGCAGTGGCAGGGATTATCTCCCCTGAGGAAAACCAAGATGTGGGCTGGCTGGCTGGGGTAGGGTGGTGAGAGGCAGTGCTGTGCAGGAAAGGACTTTCTCCAGGCCAGCAGGCTATGCAGTTACACAGAGGAGCAAGCCCTGCACCCACCATCGTGATTCCCAACCCTTCCCCAGACCTCAGCACCTCCACCACCACCAGGGAAACAAGACACAGTCACGGCAGCGGACAGCACTTTAGGACAAAGGGGGAAGGACAAAGGCAGGATGTGAGGATGGTCAGGGAGTGATCAGAACTGCTGGGAGAAAGATCAGCCATTGCTAAGTGTGTCTTCAAGCCCTACACTTCCCTGGAGAGATCACAGCTTTCTCTGGCAGATGCTCAGACAAGAGGTCACGGATAGGCACTGTTCTGGCAATTGCCAGACAAACCAACCTCTTTCTGATCCCACTGAGAGGCTGGACAATAACACAGTCTGTAGACAAGGAAATTCAAAGCATGGCATTCCTCCAGGGAAAACGCTGTGCTGGACCAGGACCAGGGCCTGCCAACACCTGTGAGCAGACAGATTCCAAAATGTACAGTCACAGGCTGGCTCCTCTGAGGCTTGGCTCACAGTGCTTCATCAAAAGAAATAAAGATAAGGAAGTATCTTCCTGCTATCAGCCCCTGCTTCGGTGGCACCCCACTCATCTCTTACCCACCCTTGGGGAGGGAATGGAGATCTTTAACCCTGGGTAAAGAGTACAATGAAACTTCATTTTCTGAGCTCCCAGAGGTTTTGGAACGTGATAGCTCCTACAGAGACATGATTCTTGCTGAATAAATAATTCTAAGTCAGTGACCTGACTAGGGACTCATGTCTGAAGCACCGTTTGATTCTTCAATTTTCAATTTTTCCTCCTTTTATTTACTAGCCAATATTTCCATGTGACAACCACATGCCCATCCCATTAGGAGGGCTATTACAAAAGAAATGAAAAGTAAATATTGGTGAGGATGTAGAGAAACTGGAATCCTCGTGCATTGCTGGTGGGGATGCAAACTCCTGCAGCTGCTGTGGAAAGCAGTCTGGATGCTCCTGAAAAAGTTAAACTACCAAACGATCTAGCAATTCTGCTTCTCGGTATATGCCCAAAGCAAACGAAAGCAGCGACTCAACAGATACTTGCCCACCAATGTTCATCGAACATTATTCAATTTCCAAAAAGTGGAAACATCCCAAGGGTCCGTCATCAGATGAACAGAAAAAATGTGGTGTAGACAGAAAATAATATTTTGCCGTAAAAAGGAAAGGAATTCTAATAATGCTACGGCACAGACAAACCTTGAAGAGATTATGTTAAGTGGAAGAAGCCAGACACAAAAGGACAAATACTGTGTGATTCCACTTACGAGAGGTTCTGAGAGTAGTCAAACTCACAGAGACGCAAAACAGATTGGTGGTGTCCAGGGTTGAGGTGAAAGGGGAGTGGATGATTGTCGCTTCACGGGGTAGGAATTTCTCTGAGGTAAGGAAAAACTTAGAAATAGATATGGTGCACAAGACTGTGGATGTAATTAATATCACTGAATTATACACTCAGAGATCATTCAAATCACAAACTTTATGTTAGATATATTTTACCACCAAAAAAAACCCACAAAAACAACCAAACATGAAACCAAACTATAAAGAAGAAAACAAGGTGGAAATAAAAAAAAAATAAGAGCTTAAGAAATAAAAGGGGAAGATTGCAAAAAGCACACAGAATAATAACATTAGCAATGCTGCCATATTAACTGCATGTAGATAGTATTTACTCTGTGCCAGGAATTGTTCTGGGTGCTATCCATATAACAACTTGTATAACCTTCATGGGAACCCCTTGATGTAGGTTTTTATTATTATCCTCATTTTAAAGTTAATAATTCTGAAAACCAGCAAGGTTAAGTATCTTGCCCAAGATCACAGAGCAAGACATGGCAAAACCTAGATTTAAACCCAGAAACTCTTGACCTGGAATCTATGTTTTTAAACAACTAAGCTGGTTGCCAGTATAAAAGACCTAAGAGTGAGTCAAAAAAAGAAAAAAAGAAAGAAAGAAAAAGGATTTAAGGATAGGGATGTATAAACAATTATATACTACCTAAAGCAAGAGAGAGAGAAAGAGAGATAAAGACTAATGAAACCAACATACTGCATTCTTATTTCAAAAGTCAAATATTAATTGTTCCATAAATAGTACAGGATACTACTGATCTTTTAGGCTCACCCAAGTCTCTCCCAGAAAACAAACAATAAAGCAGAAAGAGCACGGAACTCGAGGTTATAAAATCTGCTTTAAAATCCTGGCTCAATGACTTACTTTGCTTACTTCTTCATTTAGCGAGTATGTAATGAGTACCTGCTAGGCACCAGGGAACATGCTGGCTAGTTCACTCAACGTTTTGAATCCTAGTTCCTCTTTTATAAAATTGGAATAATATACCTACTTCACAGGGTTAAGAAAGCTAAATGAGATAGGCTATGACTGTTCTTGACTCCTAGTTTACACTCAGTAATGGTTGACTGAAGATGTTTTCTCTTGCCTAGTTTCTCAGAATAAAAATTCGTGATGATGATAAGATATATAAATCATGCGGCTTGGGTTTTCAATGGAGGCATTGTGACTGCCAGGCTGTAGACAAATCTACACAGCTACTCGGCTCCTTGTGCCCCACCCTCTTTCTTACCCTTAAGCTGGCAAGATGATGACACATGGCAGGGCACCGATAAGTGTCGGTTTTTTTCTGTTCTTCCCAGAAGGGGTGGGAAGAGACAACAGAAAGGAGAAAGGAAAAGGAGACAGGAGAAAAAAGGAACATGGAAGAAAAAAAAACAGAATGTGAAGATGGAGATAGGATATTACTTCCTTCCCTTCTCTCCCACTGGGGTAGAAAGGGCTGTGGTCTGCAGGGGGCGTCCACCTTCCATTTCTCTCTAGAATGTCCCATAGCATCAACCATGCCCCTAAACCAAAAATGACACAAACCTTCTCCAGACTCTAAAAAGCCCCTTTGGACCACACAGGACTTCTCTCTGTTTCCCCCTCCCCTGGACACCACCATACACACAGTTCAATGATGACCTTTTATTTTGCATCATGGCCAAAACAGTTATTAAGGAGTTTCATTTCCAGGGCGCTCACTAATCAAGATAACAGAGACTAAAATACAAGGCCTACAAGCCTTACACTCATCACTGGTGATTCGCTGAGTTCACCTTGTCAAGTAAACTGTAAGATGCTGGAAGACAGAGAACGTATCTAACAGAACATATCTATCAGTGAGTATTTGCTAAAGCCACATCTTGACTTATGACATATGGAGTGTTTGGAAACAGAAGATCACATTTCTACATTCCACATAGATCGAAAGTCTAGCTAACTTAGAGACTGCTTTATTTTGTCCGAGTAAGGTTTTCCTTAATTTCTAAAGTTCTGTGATGGTAAGAAGAAGCCCACCAATTATCAGCCCATTTACACCACTTCACTCAAGTCTTACGAAATGAGGCCGCTGTCCTGCGCCCCCGACGAGGAGGGAAACGAGACTGATGCAAATGATACTCTAAGGCCAACAGACAGAACCATATTTAGGATCCTATCGGGCTAGCTCCAAACGCTGCCTTCCCACCTATTCACCTGAAGTTCCTTGTAATTTGTTAGTGTGAATTAAATGACATCTCGGAAAGTGTTGCTTCTGACTAGTGAGAAAGTTTTATGTCAAGAGAAGATGAATTGCTCCAAGGAGAAAAATATGCCAGGCAAGTCCAAACACGTCTGCCTACCTACAAGTATGATTCCCACAAGCACGTCCTCCTCTTGCCAACCCATCTTCAACCTTATAGGGTGCAGATGTTTTTGAAAGTTTCTCCTTGCTCCAGGTACTATGGAAGAGACAGTGTCTGGCTTCATCCTGGAAACCATGGGGTATGTGGCATCCATCATGTTTTGGAGATGGGCCGTTTTTACATTAGCCACCCTTGCCAAAATCTAAGAAGCATGGCTGTTTCTCATCATGTGGTCGCTGGCTCTGCGAGCTGTGGTTTGAAGACGGAAACAATAATAATCCTATACATAAATGACTAACATTTTATGGGGAAGACAGAAAATAGTTTAAATGTTTTCCATGATCCTCTTTTTGAACTACAAATGATAGTCAAACAGGGGTCATTGCCCTGGCTGATAATTTTCAGAATTGCAGACCCTACAGTAAATAACATTCACAGATGGTTCCTTTCTTTGAATATCAATGCTCTGCCTTTTGGGAGCTGGCAGCTACTCAGAGAAGAGCATTAAACTGGCCAGAAAGAGACCTGGGATCCTCTGGATCTCTTTCCTTTGTTCAGAACAAGAGATTTTGACAGATTCTCCGGCCGCCAGTCTTCCAGCTCTGGTTTCCAGCTCTGGTTCTGGGCGATCCCCAAGAGATCACAGATACTTTGTATACTTTCCACATCCACCACTGTAATTGCAGAGTCCCTATCTTCCTTACGATTCTGTTTACTAGAACCAAACCCATCATTTTTGAGACATTGCCAAATTCACTGCAGGAACAAGTCATAAGTCCACTGAGAAGCGCATGCCAGTTGTGAGGAGACTCCGGTCTGACGGGCAAGATGACCACCTCCTTTTTATTTTATTATTTTTTTAAATGGAGTCTCGCTCCGTCACCCAGGCTGGAGTGCTGTGGCGCGATCTCGGCTCACTGCAAGCTCCGCCTCCCGGGTTCACGCCATTCTCCTGCCTCAGCCTCCCGAGTAGCTGGGACTGCAGGCTCCCGCCACCACGCCCGGCTAATTTTTTGTATTTTTAGTAGAGACGGGGTTTCACCGTGTTAGCCAGGATGGTCTCGATCTCCTGACCTCGTGATCCACCCGCCTCGGCCTCCCAAAGTGCTGGGATTACAGGCGCCCGCCACCACGCCCGGCTAATTTTTTGTATTTTTAGTAGAGACGGGGTTTCACCATGTTAGCCAGGATGGTCTCGATCTCCTGACCTCGTGATCCGACCGCCTCGGCCTCCCAAAGTGCTGGGATTACAGGCGCCCGCCACCACGCCCGGCTAATTTTTTGTATTTTTAGTAGAGACGGGGTTTCACCATGTTAGCCAGGATGGTCTCGATCTCCTGACCTCGTGATCCGACCGCCTCAGCCTCCCAAAGTGCTGGGATGACAGGCGCCCGCCACCACGCCCGGCCCATTATTATTTCTTTAGAGACGGGGTCCTGCTCTGTCACCCAGCCTAGAGTGCAGTGGTGCAATCATCGCTCACCGCAGCCTCGACCTCCTGGGCTCCAGTGATCCTTCCACCTCCCTCTCCCAAAGTGCTGGGATCACAGGCCTGAGCCTCCGCGCCCGGCCACCTCCTCTTACAGTAGTTCCCAACCCATTCTTCGGCCTCACTGCATGGCTCACACGGAAACATCTCAGTTTACCACCGCACGATGTAAGTGCGTTCTACACTCACCAAAGAGAAAAGAAGTCTGAAGGATAAGGCAGAGAAGAGAAAGGTTGTAGGTAGGAGGATTGGTGAGCAGGGAAGAGATATGATGGAAGAGGCGGAGGGAAAGACGGTAAAGGGGCGAAGAAATGCCAAGTGAAGATGTGTAGGCACACAGAAGAACCGAACCCAGAACCAGAAAGGGGAAAAACTCTATTGTTCTGTGGGGCTCCAATTCACAGGTCATTAGGCTTTGGAGGATCCCCACAGAAGGTTGTCATCTGCTTCTCAAACCTCTGGCAGGGGCATCAGGTGTAGCTATGCTACCACAGCGCCATCTGGTGGAGCGGTGGGACTTATCATGACCTAATCAAACTCTTTTAGGACTAATTCCGTCTTGCAACAATTCCAGGCAATAAATACAGGTGACAGGATATATTATTGAGGAATATGGACAGCTGAAGTTCACACATTGTTACGTCCTATGGATTATCTCCTCTCAGAACAATTGTAGAGTAACTTTACAATCCACATACTGAAAGATTCCCTCCCCATTCCTTTTTATCTCTTCCCACCCCATTTTGAACGGCTCAGCTATCAACAAAATTTTCAATAAGAAATACATTGCCTTTAGATGTACCTTTTTCAGCAATGTAAAACTACCTTGCTTATTATTCCAATGATCTGAATTTTGAGCATCTCTTTAAATTACATACAGATCAATGTCATGAAGCATTAAATTTATTATAATATGTAATATAAATATCTCACACATCTAGTCATTAAACACTAATATTTACTTTGTTGCCTTTCTTTCTCCACAGTTTTCCCATGTGATTCTCTTAAGAACAAAATATAATACAGTCGTGTAAATCTAAGTGATTTATTACACAAGTGATTATCCTAGAGATACTGGGACCCACGACTTGGGGCTCCACCAATGTTCCTCTGTTATATAAGCTCAGGTATGAGTTCTGGGAAGCCACAGGGCATGGGAGCAAAACCACATGCTTTGGCTCAGACCTCGATTGGAATTCGGGCACCGCCACTTACTAAGGGGCCTTCTCAAGCCTGTCTCCTATCTGTAAAATGGGAATGAGCCTACCGACTTCATAGGATTGCTGTGAGGATTAAATGGAAATCGGTACGCAAAATGGCCAGCACAGTGCTAACATCTAGAAGGTGCTGCCCAGCCCCAAAGAGATCTACCAGAGAAATAATAATTCTCATTTTTAGTCAAGCTACAAAATAAGACTCCTCATTTCTGATTTGTTTTATAAAAATGCAAAAAAGAGAGAGAAGAAAAGCCTTCCAAGATTCTGATACCGCTCACCCCAGTTTTCACTTGAAAGTCAACCAATGAATGAGCACCAGGGTGAAGATGGAATTCTGCCAGCCACAGTACCTGCAAGAGTCCACAACACACTTGACTTTCATTCATGTGTACTACAATCCTGTGGGTTAAAGGGCCATAAAAGTTGTCCTGGTTTTTCTTATACTTCAAAGGAAGCAATTTAATGGCCATGAATGACAGCCTCCCGATTACACTGTAACTATGAAACACGACTGTTCTGGAATGATTTCCAGGCTGGCTCCCTCACCAAAGGAACTTCAAGGTAAGAATTTAAACAAAATAACCTTTCCAGGCTTTCATCCAGCTTCCTCATGCAAGAGGCTCTATCCTTGGGAGCCCAGGGAATGTATGTGCACACAAAGGGTTACGTAGGGTTGAGGCCAGACAGAGGGTGGTCTGGAGAGTTGTGTTGAGGCAGGGCAACCCAGAAAATGGACAGCACTGTTCCCTGGGGAGGCCTATATGCTACAGACACTATAAGAAATAAAAGAATAAGGGATAATAATTTTTTTTTTGAGACAGCGTCTCACTCTGTCACCCAGGTTGGAGAGCAGTGGTGCAATCATGACTCGCTGCAGCCTCAACCTCCTTGGACTCAGCTGATCCTCCCACCTCGGCCTCCCGAGTAGCTGGGACTACAGGCGTGCACCACCATGCCTGGCTAATTTTTTTGTATTTTTTTCTAGAGATGGAGTTTCTCCATGTTGCCCATGCTGGTCTCAAACTCCTGCGCTCAGGCCATCTGCCCATCTTGGCCTCCCAAAGTGCTGGTATTATATGCATGAGCCACTGGGACTGGCCTAATTTTAACATTTTAAGGGGGAAACATTACATGAAGAATGTTGGTTACAAAGAAAAACCTCAAAAATGTGGGCTCTGCCTATCTTACTGCCATTGCTTAATTAGCCAGATAGAGCAAGCCAAAAATATTCCCATTGCCCTATGACTCAGCAGACAAGTATAAATGTTTCTCACAGTAGCAAAGCAAACGCTTACAGCTGGAAGACCATCACATATGGTGGAGCCAACGCTGTACTTGGAACTGGATTTGATTTTCAATCCTGGTTTCTCAATTAACTAGCTCTCTGACCTTGGGCAACTTCCCTGAACATTGGTTTGCTCATCTAAAATGCGGATAGTCACCTGTCTCTATAAAGGGCTACCCATTAAATTAGAGGATGTGAGGATAAGCAAATCAAAACTCCCTTGGTATGTCCTATGCCTCCTCTCAGCTGGAATACAGCAGGGCCTAGGAAACAGGTCCAGTTTTCTGCAGAGAGTCATATGGGCATAGTTTAAGCATGTAAAGGGGCACGCTTACAGTGATGTTATAAAAGCAAAACACAAGTACCTGCTTACTGCAGAATCCTCTCACAAACAGAGAATCCTATGAAAACTGCAAAAGGGATAAAGAAAGAAAAAGTGGGGGAAGCCAGGTCCTTCAAACCTCCAGTCAGCAGTCACTCTCAATCATTACCAGACGTCGTCACTGAATTTAGGGCCCCTGTCAGAACCAGCACACATATGGAGCCGTGGTTACAGGCCAGAACACACACCTCTTGACATTTAAAGATGTTCATCTTCAATTGGCCTCCATATGAGATGTGGAGTTTGAGAACCTAATTGTTCCCAAGCTCTGTGAATGGGTTTTATATACTCCGAAGACAGCTAGATATTGAAAGGGGAGAAAAGGCGGGATCTTGACATTTGGGAAGCAATTCTACTACACTGTTTTAGGATTGGTTTTAAAAATTAAAGACGGTGATTTGATGTTTGTGTTGAAAGCACAACCACGTCCTGACTGCTAAAAGAAATCTAACCTATATGTCATGGTCCCCCAAAGCCCCAAAGTGGATTTTAAAGTTGTTAAAGTAAAAATCTACTTTGTAGGAAGAGCCCGCCTTGCTATTCTACCTTAAAACTGATGAGCGAGTTGGAGGGACTGGGATGTTGGAGGGGCTGGGGTGCTGGAGGGGCGGCGGGGGGCGGGACAGGGGAGACACGGGTGGTGAGGAACAGTCCAGGGATATCCAGGCTGGACCCACGTAGGTTCCTCTTCCTACCAAAGGGGAACTGGGACGTGCTCCCTGTTTCCCAGACGGAACTCCTGGGTGATAATGTGAGAAGCCCTTACTGCACATCTGTCTTTCCCCACATACTTACAAAGTTAGGGGGAAAGCTGGAAAGTGATATGCAGCCCCTGTATAATTCTGACTTATTCTCAGAAGATTTTTTAAAAAACTAAAAAATAAATGGAAATCAGCTGCAGCCTTCCTGATGTGTGAATAGAGACAATTTAAAAGACATCAAGTGCCAAATACTGACCTGTCTCGCCTAACAAAACTGCCCTGTCTTTCAGCCCACTGAGAACAGAGGGACACACACCACAGGGAGGTGAGCTGTCTCGGAAGGAGCCCTCCACGCAGACCCCACAGCTATATTAACTGTGCTTAACGTAATCATGAACACATAATCGCGGGGCTATTGAAGACTCCATAACAAACAAGATCAAGGAGCCTGGAGCCTCTAAAACATGAAAACCAATTAGCACTATGAAATCTAAGAGCAGACACAGCCAGAGCTCGAGAAAAGGCATGGGCAGGAGCTGGACTGCTCAATCCTGCTCACTCCTCCCTTCCTTCCTGTTACACGGTTCTGTTCTGAGGTGCTGCTGAGAGGGGCTTCCTCTCCTGGGCCAGAACTGAGGCTAAGGCCCGAAGCTGAGGACAGAAAGTGATCAACTCCCCACATTCTAAAGAGGCTGCTGGAGAAGCGGCCACGACTGGGGCCTGACATCCTTCTCTAGGGATTATCAGGCAGCACTCTGCTACCCATCCCACAGGACCGTAACTTATCCTTCCCAATCCGTAGAAAGCAAGACTCTGAAGCATGTGCGTTTGTCTTTGGCCTTGTGGGAGGTTTCTATTCAAGAGGAAAACTGATGCCATGAAGGATGGGATGAGGTGCTTTCTCTTCCCAGAAGGGAAAGATTTGGGTGCCTCGTGAAAGGGAGTCTGGAGTCAGCTCCCTGGTCAATGATCTACTTGCAGAGACAACTCTCTGATCTCACCTTAATAAATGAGATTCATTCACCTGGCACTTTGGGTTTCATGTAGGGGGAGAGATGGAAGAGTTAGGGGAATAAAAGGAGATGAAAGGACTAAAGAAAAGGCAGAAGGAGGCCGGGCATGGTGGCTCACATCTGTAATCCCAGTATTTCGGGAGGTCTATGTGGGTGGATCACTTGGGTCCAGGAGTTTGAGACCAGCCTGGGCAACACGGCGAAACCCCATTCTACCAAAAATAGAAAAAAAAAAAAATTTGCCAGGCATGGTGCCATATGCCTGTAGTCCCAACTACTCAGGAGGCTGAGGTGGGAGGATCACATGAGCCTGGGAGGTTGAGGCTGCAGTAAGCCGTGATCACACCACTGCACTCCAGCCTGGGAAACAGAGCCAGACCCTGACCAAAAAAAAAAAGGCAGTAGGGCATGACAAAAAATATACTGTGGGGCAATTTGTACTCAGACGTGGGAAACAGGATTAAATGCATTAGAAAAGAACTAAACTGAAATATTTAAAAATGACAGTAATCAGTTAACAATCCATTCCCCATGGATAAGAAGGCTGTGATTTTTACACCAAAGGAAAAGTGTTTAAGTCATAGTCCCTACCATAGGGGCTTCAACAAAGTGATGCCAAAGAAAGACTACTGTCCTACGAAGACAGCCATCTGGAGGAGGTCCTAATGGTATCACAAGCGATGTGACAAAAATGAAGTCCCTTCATTTCTCTCAGCCTTTCCTTACCTGTAAACAGGGCAAGAATGGAAGGCTGAAATAGCCAGAGGTTCCAAACCTCAATGGTAATGAAGAAACACAACCTGTGCATTGTATTCTGAAAGGCCTCGGAGAAACTGTGTCCTTATCCACAGACGCACAGAGCGGTGTTGGAGAAACATCAGTTACCACTTGCCTAGGATGTCTAAGGGCTCTTGACACATCCTGTAATGCGACGTAAATAAGAAATAAAGGTGGGCCTCACTGAAAGCAGAACTCCTCTCAGCCGAGGACTGGCTTAGCCTGAGTTTCTGGGAGGTGATCTGCCCTCTGGGCTTCCCCTCCCTCGGCCCATTAACATTTCTGTACTTAGAAGTCGGCTGGGATCCTGGAGGGCATAAGAGCTGTAAGAATGCCATGACTATTTTTAAAATTTTGAAAAATAAATACTAGAGGCTCTGGCAGCAACAGCGCTTGGGGAGTAGCCGTACCTCTGAAGTTTTCCTTTCCTTTCTCGAGCAACGCAGGGAGGGAGCTGTTTAATGAGGAGTCTCAACACCGGGGAACAAAGCAGTAGTGTTTGCACACAAAGCTTGGTGCTGGCAATTTTCTCGGTTTCGTTTTTTCATGCTGCCAAAGTCATTTGTTTTGAAAATAAGAGCCTCTCCTTTGCCCTCAGCATCCCTATTAAGACACTAAACCACAGGATTAATTCTGTTTAGGCCTGCAGAGTGAGGTAAATCCTCTGAGACACCTCAGCACCTTCCCCAGGTGAGACAGGAGAGTCCGGGGATGAAGAATTCGGCTCTGGAGTCACAGACTCAAGTTCAAGTGCCAGCCGTACCGCTTGCTAGCAGCGTGGCCTTGGGCAAGTCACTTGGCTTCGGTTTCCTCCTCTTAGCTGCAAAATATGAAAAACGGGCCTGCTATGAAACGACTGGCCCATAGTCAACACTCAGTAAATGATAACTATATAAAATAATGGTGGTAAAACCAGCAAAAATCGACAGGTGTGTATCGTTGGGCCATAATGTGAAACCACGCTCAAAGTACTTTAATATAGCATCCTTCAAGGCGCTCACAATGCTGCAGACTGTAGGAGCGAAGTCAGCAATACAGGTTGGAATTCATGTATTGGGGGCTATACTAACATATACAAAGTATACGTGATTTGTCTAGGTTGTTTTTGATGCAAAATAGCCTGAAGCTAGAGGACACCACCTACTCTTATCTACAGTGTCCCTTCTGTTTCTAGGAAGAGTCTACAATCCTAACTTTAATGCATTTTTGTCTAAACTAAGAGTCTTCACATTTTTTGAAGTCACAGAAATATTTGTGAATATATATTTTTAACTGGGACTTGATTACTTTGTAACATGTATGTGTGTATACACATACACACACGTACATAAAAGGGTAACAACGCAAAAGGCAATACTGGTTTGTGTATATATCATATAGTGGAAAGAATATTAGATTCAAGTTAGATCATCTACTTCCAACACTGCAGATGGCCAGAGCCGTAAGGCAAGTCTCTCCAATCAGGTCTTAGTATTCTCCTTATTTAAAAAAGGAGAAAGACATTAAAATACCTTCAAAATTATTGTTGTGACCCCAGGCAGAGTAACTAGAATGAAGTAGAAGAAGCTATTGGAATATGACGTTGTCTCATGTAAGATCTTTTTTTTTTTTTTTTTTTTTTGAGATGGAGTCTTGCTCTGTTGCCCAGGCTGAAGTGCAGTGGCGTGATCTCGGCTCACTGCAACCTCCGCTTCGTGTCGTGAGATCAAGCAATTCTCCTGCCTCAGCCTTCTGAGTAGCTAGGATCACAGGTGAGTGCTACCATGCCCAGCTAATAGGGAGGCTGAGGCAGGAGAATCGCTTGAACCCAGGGGGCAGAGGTCACAGTGAGCTGGGAATGCGCCACTGCACTCCAGCCTGTGCAACAGAGCAAGACTCCATCTCAAAAAACAAACAAACAAAACAAAAACAAAAAAACAACAAAAACCCCAATATTTTAAAACATAACAGTAGAAATTGTGTTTGTGAATGTCATAAGAAGTTTCTTTACTTCTTCTAGTTCTCTGTTGAGAAACAATACAGAATCGTATGCTCTGTCTATTGGGGCAACAATTCAATCACAGCAGGATAAAAATTGACTTTTAAAAAGTGACCCCCTGCTCTTGTTTTCTCCTCTCCTTCATCAGTTCACTACCAGACCTCACACCAGAGATGAAGCTTCTCCATGCAGAGAAAGACCTAAAACTCTAGCGTGATGTACTCATGGATAAGAATTGATCAACATGTATCCAGAGCCCAATGATGCCAGGAAGAAAGCCTAAACATAATTTAATAAACTCCCTCTCTGTTTTCTTCATTTCCTACTACTTTGGTTTACTTAAAAATGAGTGTTTGCAGGAGAAATCTGAGTGCATTTTTGGCAAGCAGCTGAGTTATCTTTGCTTATTCATTAAACGAACAGTGTGACGGAGAAAGTCCAAATAGGAAAGACAAGGAAAAATGGGGAAAAGTTGACTTCTCATCCCAAAATATTTCTTGGATTAAAAGGCAAACTCATCCAATCTTAAGGTTTAGAGGGCTAAAATAATTGTTCCATATGTAGCTGTTAGAAGGCATTAGATATTAACTATGGCATGGTGTCTATGGATATCTGCGTCATCTATTTAGATAGTATGTGCTGAATATCAAAAACATTAAGCTAAAGAAGGTTAAGGAAAGATGGTGTTTCCCCAAGGAAAGGTGTGCTTATCCTAGTTTGACAGTCTCCTAGGAAAACTTGGATACTTTCTTACATAGGAAGGACATATAACATGCTTCCAGAGTCACAGGGTTTGAAGACGGCTGAAGACGTCATCTTGTCCCCATATGCGGCCCAGGAAGAGCGAAGTCTAGCACCACATTGGGACTAGAAATCTACATTTTAAATCGTATTACAAATTTAGAGATCTAATGGTGTATTAGCAAGATAAGTTTCAAATACATCAACAAAATGATAGGCAGAAGGAACCTCAAAACTTTTGTGATCTGAATTCCCCATTTCATAGATGGGGAAATCAAGGCCCTAAGAGCTGAAGAAATTGCCAAAGGTTGAAAAACACTCCTCAAACACCACCTTCCTCCTCTCTGGGACTTCATATTATTTCATTTTCTTTTACTATTCTGCCTGAGCTTTGACTTTCTGGAATTTTAAATACCAATATAGGAATCATCAGCTGGTGTCAATCCTCAATAAGATGACTTAAAGTTTACTCATAATGGTTTAGCATGGTCAGAAAGTGAACATTATTCATAACGGTTTTTCATGGTCAGAAAGTGAACACTACAGGTTTGGCCTATGTGCCTGTAAAATTTAGAAAAAGGACATAAAAAGGAGGAGAATTTAAAAATCACCTAGACCACTGTCGATGCTGTGAGTGGGAATTCCTACTTACAAAGGCCCCAGTGCAAGCTCCCTCTTAGTTAGCTGCCTTCTGACCCAGCTATCTCAACAGAGTTCATTAACTCTGTTAAAACCACTAACTTATGCCATGGTAATTCACATAGGAGAATGGCATAACTAATTAATATGGGTGGAGGGGCACTGGCTCTAGCATTAAAGTGGATTGATAACTCACTGAAATCTGCATGATCACACACAAACTCCTTATCTTGCTAAGTTTACGCTTGCTCCACTACACAAACTGAACACCAGCTCTTAGTACCCTCAATAGCTACCCTTTCCTCACTGCAGAAGAACTAAGTTTTTCATCAGACACCCAAATGAAACTGATACTGGCCGTCAGTATCATTATCCACTGATACCAGCTACCAATTGCTTGCTGGTACTGGCTGTCAATATCATTGTCCACTGATACCAGCTACCAATTGCTTGCTGGTACTGGCTGTCAATATCATTATCCACTGATACTGGCTACCAACTGCTTGCTCGATGACTGAACATAAGCCAACGACACTAGCCCCAAGTACTTTCCTACCTTTTCATCCACCATTAGCATAAGGAAGAGAAATTCCTTTGTTGTCTTCTTGAGGGAAAAACTACACAAAATAGAAAGCCTTAGGCTCCATTACATAAAGCGTTGAAAACCACACACCATGACAATAAAGACCCAAGCATGTTTTCAATAAATTATTTTCCTCTTATTTCACACTGTGAAAACCCACATTTGATAGACTATTTTATAGCAAATGTACCGGTTATCAATAAATAAGTAGAGTTTCCACGTGAGGAGAGAGGAGAAATCTACTCCCAGCATTTGCCCCCTTCATGGGTGCAACAGAACTTGTAGCAATTCTCTGGTTTAAACAACAGGTGGCAGTGTCATTTCTACATTTTCCCTGGCAAGAAACCTTTGCAGTTTGTGATTTCACCTTCCAGGAGGCATTAACAGTTTTGTAACCGCCTCTATCGACAGCGTGTGCATATGTTCCTATGTAGTAAATGCAAATGCATGCAGGAAAACATTGAGATTTGTGTAAATGCAGTTTCACCAAGTGCTACTCTCCCCATACCCACGCCCCTCCCCACACAATAGTCTATGCACAGGCATCATTTCCCTTGAGGAAACAGCAAAGCAGGGAAAAGGCAGAAGGAAAATCGACTCCATCACATATGTTCTGATCCTCAATTATCATATACATGTCTGTCACCCACCCATTCCTGCCACACATACAAGAGAAAGGATACACTACAAGGTCCTGGGGCACACTTTGGGCAAATGACTGAGAAAGCGAAGTTCTGAGAAATCTTAATTCACATCAAGAAAAGCACTCTACTGTACTGACATTTCTGGTAGGCGCTGTTTTCACTCTTCTGCTACAAAAGAGCATGCTCCATATTTGAAAGGAATCAACAGAAACAGGTCTTACATTCCCACAAGGAAAACACAGAAGTCAGGACCATTCTCACATGTGCCGAGAAGACAAGACCACGTTTCCTAGGGTTTTTGTGTGAGCTTTAAATAGGAGAAAAGTGCCATGTCAAGAATTCCTCATTCAATATCTATAGCTCAGTTTTTTGTTCACATGCATTATTTTATTTTATTATTATTTTTGAGATGGAGTCTCACTCTTTCACACCAGCTAGAGTAAAGTACTGCGATCTTGGCTCACTGCAACCTCCACCTCCTGGGTTCAAGAGATTCTAGTGCCCCAGCCTCCCGAGTAGCTGGGATTACAGGCACGTGCCACCATGTCCAGCTAATTTTTGTATTTTTAGTAGGGATGGGGCTTCACCATGTTGTCCAGGCTGGTCTCGAACTCCCAACCTCAAGTGATCCACCTGCCTTGGCCTCCCAAAGTGCTGGGGCTACAGGCATGAGCCACTGCACCTGGCCACATAATTTTATAATGTAGCAGCAGGTACTCTGTGGTTTCTAGCCTATAATGTAACAGTTATTGGTTTGATATGTTACATTTATTTAATTTTGAATCTGTGGTGTTTTTTTAAAGCAATTTAACAATGAAAATCTCGTCAATGCAGCAGGGATGAGATCAAACTGACTGATGGGTAAATCACCAGCCTAAAGGGACACGCCAGGTATTAGACAGTCTGGCATGTGTAGCTGGAGAAGTACTCAAAAATGTATAAAAGTCAATGAGCACATATACGGAGAATTACACAGAAAATAATAAGCAGCACTAGAAAGAGATGATGTGTGTTTTTTGTACTGTCCCTGTCACATAGCATCAAACATCCACATTCCTGCTTTCTGAGATGAGAGGGTTGGACAAGTACCCTCAAGAAGCTTTCTGGTATACGGTACACAGTATCTTATTGTTTTATAAATAGAAAAAAGAGAATACAGAGGAAAAAATTAAAATACATCACCTAGAGTTCAGAGGCATTGGAGGAATTTGGCTTTCATCAGCAATTTTGCATTAAAAGCAAGTATCTGTCGGCCAGGCGTGGTGGCTCACGCCTGTAATCCCAACACTTTGAGAGGCCATGGTGGGCGGATCATGAGGTCGGGTGTTCGAGACCAGCCTGGCCAACATGGCGAAACCCCGTCTCTACTAAAAATACAAAAGTTAGCCGGGCATGGTGGTGCAGCCTGTAATCCCAACTACTCAGAAGGCTAAGGCAGGAGAATTGCTTGAGCCCAGGAGGTGGAGATTGCAGTGAGCCGAGATTGCGGCATTGCACTCCAGGCTGGGTGAAGAACAAGACTGTCTCAAACAAACAAACAAATAAAAAAGTGAGTATCTGTCCTAAGCAACACATTGTCAAGTGCGGCCTATATGATTTCCTGGTGGTCAGATAATGTTGCATTCATGCTTTCTGTAGGAAGTGGGGTTTCATGAAACAGCATGAACTATGAACTTTGAACGAAGAGTCACGGGCTTATCCCTGACTCTAGGACTTAGTAGCGTGGTTAATCACAGCCGCATTATTAATGTCTCCAGTTCTCCAAAATACGGTAAATGACACCATAACAGATCTTTTGTAAAGCTATGGTGGATATTTTTAAAGGATTATTTATTCATAGTAGGTGTCTGATAAGAGCTACTTTTAGACTTTTGGACTTGTAGATAACTTCTTTTAATTTCCTATTAAAATACCCAGGAAGGTACAGAATCCAGTGTTGGGGCTCATAAACCAATACCCTAAAATACAGCGCTTTGACATCCTGAACTGAAGAAGCCTCCAGGTCTCTCTGGCCTTCCACTTTACCCACTGTCTCTCAATCTTCTCTCTCTCCCAAGCAGACGATGAACTTGTTCATTGGAGTTCCCTTATCTGCCCAAACTCCCAGACCTGCCAAAGAAGAAAACAATCACCTCTGGCTCTTTCCCTGCGTCTTCAGTAACTGAACTCCTATCCCAGGAACAAAGACTGAAATCTGTCAACACACCTGAACAGACTCCTATCTGCTTTGCGGGCCCAACAGATGGTCCCAGGCCATGGTATGTTCTTCAAGCCCACTGAATTCCCTAAAAATCAGTTCCTACCCCGTTAAAATCATCCACACTTCCCCATCTCCCTTTCCCCTAAGAAGAAGGGTGTATACATCTGTCCCCCAGGGCGTGGTAGGTCATCACTGTGACTCTCCCTCATGCACATTAACAAACGTGTATGCTTTTTTATGCCTTTAGCAGCTGATTTTCAGCAAAACTTCAGAGGAAAAAGGGGACATTTTCCCTTGGCCACTCCACTAGCCACAGTCCTATAAGCTAAAGATAACAGAAGTTCCCCTATCCAACAATCTCAGGAAAGTTTCCTTTAAGTTCAGCATTAATCACTGAATGTTCTACCATCTAACAACTGTATGGCATTTTAAAAAATGTTTAACTGAGGTTAAATATATATAATGTAAAATTTAACATTTTAAGTATTCACTTCAGGGGCTACAAAGTACATTTATATTGTTGCACAACCATCACGACCATCCATCTCCAGAACTTTCTTCATCTTCTAAACCTGAAACTCTGTGCCCATTAACAATAACGCTCCATTCCCGACCCTCTCCCCTCAGATCCTGGTACCCGCCATTCCGTCTCTATGAATTTCAAACATGAGGTGCCTCACAGAGGTGAAATCATGCAATATTTGCCCTTTTGTAACTACCTTATTTCACTTAGCATGTCTTCAAGGTTCACCCATGTTATAGCATGTGTCAAAGTTTCCTTTCTAAGGCTGAATTCCATTTTATATGTGGCACACATTTTGTAGATCCATACATCTGTTGATAGACACGTGGGTTGCTCTCACCAAATGTGTACAAATATCTGTTCGAGTACCTGCTGGATTCCAATTTTGGGGGGTGTATACCTAGAAAGAGAACTGCTGGATCATATAATAATTTTATTTCTAATGTTCTAAGGAAGTAGAGAGCATTTTGAAATGTGAGATCGAGGCCTAAGCAGTCATTCTTGCTAACTGGAATGCTGGAGTGCTGAGCTGGTCATGGCTAGGCTGATCCCGTCAGTGGCGGACAGAAAAGCATTGACATGAGGTCTATAAAAAAATAAGTATCAGCCAGGCACTCTGGCTCACGCCTGTAGTCCCAGCTACTTGGGAGGCGGAGGTGGGAGGATTGCTTGAGCCCAGGAGTTCAAGGCCAGCCTGGGCCACACAGTGAAACCCCATCACTTAAAAAAAAAAAAAAAATAGAATAGTAAAAGGGAAAGGAAACATCATGCTAAAGAAACAGAACTGGCTGGGCGCGGTGGCTCATGCCTGTAATCCCAACATTTTGGGAGGCCGAGGCAGGTGGATCACCTGAGGTCAGGAGTTCAGGACCAGCTTGGTCAACGTGGTGAAACCCAGTCTCTACTAAAAATACAAAAATTAGCCAGGCGTGGTGGCATGTGCCTGTAATCCCAGCTACTCGGGAGGCTGAGGCAGGAGAATTGCTTGAACCCAGGAGGTGGAGGTTGCAGTGAGCCGAGATCATGCCACTGCTCTCCAGCCTGGGTGACAATAGCAAAATTCAGTCTCAAAAAAGAAGAAAAAAAAAGAAAAAGAAACAGAACAACAGCATTACCTGTGAAAAATCTTTCAACACAGCAAACACAAGAAATCTTGCTCTCAGTAGGACAAAGGCAGGCAGAAGCACTGTGGAAGAGGGGCCAGGAGGGGCTGAGATGAGGGCAGAATGAGGGAGCACAGCGAGCTAACTAAGGTCAAAGAAAAAGAAAACAAGGAAGCTGGAATTATGTTACCGAGAATAAAATAGACATTGGAAAGAAATAATGGAAAAACAGTTCAGCCAATGTGTGGCCATTCAGAAGCATCCTGCCTTGTCGGTCTAATGCTAAGAATGATGGGAGAAGGGGCTTCCAATCTTTTTCTATGATTTTTTTTTTGTACCTAGTTAAAAACCCACTGCATTTACAGTTATCAATGAAACTGTTCTGCTTAATACCATAATACAAGTGTCTTTCCAAAGTTTTTTGTTCCCTGAGGACAGAATAACAAATGTCAGAACATGAACATTTTTAGGGCTTCTGATACATACTGTTGCCAAAAGTATCAGCAAGGTATGAGGCCATCAGCACTGCCACCATTAATTTTTATTCTTTTTTTTTATTTTGAAAGAATCTTAAACTTAGAGAACAGTGCAAGAATAGAATAGTATAACTTATTTTTTCTTAGCTATTTGAAAGTTAGTTGCCAACACAATGGCCCATCACCTCCAAATTGTGTATTTCTTATGCACAATGACATTGTCCTACACCTATGAAAACCAGGAAGTTAACATTGATACATTACTACCATCCAATCCTAGGTTCACCAATCATTCCACCATGATCCTTTTCACAGCAAAAGGTTCCAGTTCAGAATCAAGGCTTCTGTTTGCTTGACTTTCATGAGCTTGACACTTTTGAAGACTAGAGGCCAGTTATTTTGTTGTATAATGCGTCTCAGTTTGGGGTTGCTTGATGTTTCTTCACGAATAGATTGAGGTTCTGCATCTTTGGCAGGAGCATCACAGTCATGATGCTGAGTTCTCATATCCTATCACGTGGTACATAACTTCAATCAGTCTTATTACTGATGTTATTAATTTTGATCACTAGGTTAAAGTGTTATCTGTCAGACTTCTCCACTGTGAAGTTTCTCATTTTCTCTTTGAATTCCTAAGAATTTGGGAGTGGGGAGAGTTACTCTGAGAGAATGCATATATGACATTCCTCAGCAAACTTAGGACTTTAAGCACTGAACTCACAAATTCCTATTTTATTCAGTGAGTTATAACCTATTACTACCGTTATTTTGATGCTGAAATTGCCACAGATTTGGCTAGCAGGAGCCTCTTCAAGCTGACTCCTATGTCCTTCTGCTATATCCTCATCTTTGGACATTTCCTTACTTTATGAAACAAGAAGACATCCCAGGCTCATCTTCTACTTCTCTGTCCCAGCCCTGGAATCAGCCATTCTTCCAAAGAGCACCTTTAAGTAGCGAACAGTATTTAGAAGCCAAAGTCCCAGACTAGGTGTGCACTAGGTGTTACAGTTCCCAGGTCCTCTCAGTGGACACAGCCGGGAAATATACGTATGTGGAACACACAGACACAAAGATCTGCATCTATGTTTATTTCTACACAGCTCTTTCTCTCTGTGGAATACCAAGAGTTCACACCAGTCTCTCTAATGAACAGAGTTTTATTCCAGTTCCTTCCCTTTCCAAAACAACCAGCCGTGTCTCTGTTGCCCTCTCCTGCCCGGCTGCCAGGTTTCCACGTGAATGCTCTCACTCCCCTGAGTTCAGACACTCAGCTTTGAGCCAAAGTGGCTTCCCTCTCTCCCAGGACCCCACGCTCCACAGTCAAGGCACTCAACTTGCTCTGCCTCATCTCATGACTTTTGAACTGAGCTTTAGAGAAACAGTAAGAACAAGACATTATCAATTTCATAGATGAGTCTGAATATTTTAAATGTTTGCCATCATATTTCTGTAAAAATTGTGCTTCACGTGCTTTGTCTATTTACCTATACACACCTCATTGATTTTAAACTTTTTTTCTTTGTTTACAGATGGGGTCTTGCTCTGTCATTTAGGCTGGAGTACAGTGGCAAAAATCACAGCTCACTGCAGCTTCAAATTCCGGGGCTCATGCAATCTTCCTGCCACAGCCTCCCAAGTAGCTAGGACCACAGGTGTGCACCACCATGCTGGCTTTTTTTTTTTTTTCCTGTAGAGATGGATTTTGCTATTTTTCCCAGACTGGTCTCAAACTCCTGTGCTCAAGCAATCCTCCTGCCTTGGCCTCCCAAAGCACTGAGATTACAGGCATGAGCCACCATGCCCAGCAGATTTCTTCTTGATTAGTTTACGCTGTATGTGTGTTAAAGGTATCAATGCTTTGGCTTAAATGTTGCAGATAATTTCTTGATATCTTATTTGGTTCTTGACTTATTTTTTTTAATAGAAAATTGTATTTTGTTGATTTAGAAAGCCTGAACCCCTTGCTACTTTTCTATTTCCTCTGAGCCCCATTTTTCTCTGAGCTTTTTGCATTTCTGAACTTCTCCATTACTCTCCACTCCAGTGATTCTCAATCAGGGCTGATTTTGCTCCTCCCCCTGGAAGTCTGGCAATGTTTGGAGACATTTCTGAGTCTGAAGACTGGGTAGGAAAGTATGATTAGCATCTAGTGGCAAAGGCCTAGGATACTGCTACACACCCTACAATGCACAAGACAGCCCCCACGACCAAAGGTTATCCAGCCCAAAATGTCACTAGTGTCAAACGCTGCTCTGGAGTCTCTCAAACGCTTTACAGCTATTCTTTTGATTTCTTCCAAAACAAGACATTAGAAAAGAAAGGCTAAAAGAGGAATATTTTTCATGTAGGCAATGACTTTTTCTAAATCCTAGGTCTGAGTTACAAATACTGGTCATAGAACCTTATAGAATCCAAAAGCATTGTCAAAAAGACCAACCAAAAAAACCCTATCTTTGTTATTTCCACAAAAGATGATCGTAGCTGTGTTCTTGACATAAAGGGACTCACCTAATTCATAAAGTTTTAAATCTGTGTTTGTCATGTGGTCAAGAATTCATATCTAGATTACCTAGGTCCATCTGTGCTATCTTAAATGCCAATGAAAGAAAAATGTAATTATTAATTTAATTTTTTCAAATCCTATAAGGCCAGTACCAAGGTACTAAATGTAAATATATACATACATATATATAAATGTACATATATAAAATACATAGTTTTAAAAATAAAGAACAGTATTACAAATAAAATTGTTGCTTTCTTGGAACTCAGGCCTTTGAAAGAAAATACATATATAGCAGCATGGCATGAAGCAATTTAACAAGATATGTAAGATATATTAGAAAGAAAGGAGATTTTTCTCTTCACAAACACAATATATATCTTCTTGGTTATAGACTTGTTACTTGCCTGCCAGAAGAGTTTACTATCATCTTCACAAGTATTCAATTCTCAGAACCAAGGGATTTCACAGCCTCCTCTACCCAATCAAAGCAGTGTCTTATGGGGTCCGTCTGAACGTAATCCTGTCCTACTGACGGATTTGACATCTATTTCTGCCACCATTGCACAAGAACACAGCAGACTGCTGACTGCAATAAGACTTATCTAGAGGCTAACAGGCAAGCAAAATCTATACTGATTTCCTTTTCTTCAGCACAATACCTTTTAAAAAGTACCATAAATAAAACAGTGTTCTCAAGACCTGTGATTTTCAACGAGAAATTACTAAACACATTGGGGAGGCTTCTTGTGGTCTTGATTTCCTAATGAGCTATGGGAAATTACATAATGAAGAGAATTCTTCTTGGCTTCTTAGGTTTCAAAAGCCTACAAAGTCTGTAAATTCTGTTTCCTTTCCAACAAACACTAAACCTAACTTGGTATTCGAAACTTTAACCTCTCCATTTCAAATGCTTTAGTTTTGGTCCTGACTCATTACAAGAAAGGAGGCTGTTAGAATAGCAAAATAATAATTATGATGAAATCATAACAATAATAACAGTAGCTAACACTTATTGAACTGAGCGCTATATGTCAGATAGTATTCTAAATGCTCTATCGGTGTAAACTCACATCATTCTATGATAAGCTACAAAGTAGATACTCATCATAATAATCAGTCGCATTTTATAGATAAGAAAACTGAAGCCCAGGAGTGTGAATAGGTTTTTCTAGGTTAGAAGCAGAATTGAAGTCAGAAAGCCTGACTGTAAACTCATGGTCTTAACCACTTTTCTGGCTCTCTGATTCCCACCCTCTCAACTTTTAACGTGACTGAATCTGAAACTCATCATTCATTATAGCATCAAACCTACATCTCCCTCTTCTTAAGGCCTACCTGCATGAGCATGTACCTGTTCATACAGCTCCCAGAACAAACGTGTATAGGTTTGTCTAAGTAAACAGCAAATTTGATTGTAAACATAAAAACTAAAGAGAATATCATTGCTTTGTAAAGGTAACGGTGAATGATTCTCAACGCCAATACCAGAAACATGTGACAATCACAAGGCAGTCACCAATTTAACAGAGAGAAGGAAAGTATGAAGTGTATCTCTCAGTCTCTGATAGAAGTTCCTTTCTTCACCTCGGGTGAAGGTCAGGAGTTCCACTTCTACTGCCCTTGCTGTCACCAAACAGCAAAGTTCAAGGAAGACAGAGGAGCTTTGAAGCCTTCTGACATGGGTACAGAATTCTACTATGTCTTTTTGTTTGAGTACAAAATATAGCTCTAGCCTGAAGAAAGACTTAGAGTTAATCTTCCTGTGGTACAGATGGTATATTCTGATTCCTGATCACCCACACTGCGCCACAGAGCCCCTGACACAGAATTGTCTGTAGTTAAGTAATGGGAGGTGAGGAAGTGGCCTCAGAGAAGGACTAACGTCCACAGACTTGAGTTCGTACAACCACAAAAATACCTGCCTGGCCAACTAGCCACCCAGTCTAGCATAAAGATTGGTCATGCAGATTTGTGGAAAGAAAGAGGTCCAGGAAATGCTTCTTGGAAGGCAGAACATTTACTTATTCATCATTATATTATTGATCAGCCTCCCTACACCCTGATTAATTATCACTCCATTGATGAAAAGCTATCTCAATTCAATTCTATTGCTTTCTCAGCAATACAGGCAAAAATTTTACATAGCAAGTTTTTTGTTTGTATATTTTTATTCATTTTTCAGCAAATCAAAACCCATTCAAATGGAAAATGGAAAGATGGAAAAATGAAACTGTGCATTTCAATGTGATATTGAGCATAGGATATCAGCAGCTCACTTCGTGGGTTCTGTGTTGCTTCGACATTCTGTCTGTGACCTCTTGGAAGGTTTGACTGGTAGGGGCACAGCACTTCAAACTGTGACATAATCAGCGTTTCCTCTCCTAGGTTAAGAGGGACACTGATCGCTGGAAACATGAACATCCACAGCAACTAAGAGTGAGCACTGCTGAACACAGCCACAGACTGTGGTCCTTCGTTAAACAAATGAAAGTCTAAATCAAATGACGAGAGAACGCAAATTCATGATCATTATGAAGCAAATGCATTGCTGTACTTAAGACATCAGTCCCTCTACAGAGAGGCCATCACCTCTTTGCACAAGTCAATATGGGCAAAAATTGTTTTCAAAAACCAGGTTGGTTCTCAAACATTAAAATGCACATATCAGAGAAAAATGCTCTCTCAAGCATCTCTATACGAAGATGTTCATTACAGAAATGTTTGTTATGGTGGAAAATGAGGGCCAATGTCTATCAATAGGAGATTGAGTATGAGAACTACAGTGCACAGCGAGGGGGTAAGAACGTGGGTTCTGGAGCCACGCAGCCTTGCTTTAAATCCTGACTTTGACACACACTAACAGTGCGACCTGAGGCAACTTACATAACCTCTGTAAATCTTGGTTTCCTCGTCTGTATATAAAGAGTTTAGTAAAACACTTGACATATACGAGCTCAATAAATGTTAGCAATTATTATTATGCTACATTATGTATATGGACATTTTAAAAAGATAGGGCTGTATCTATCAGCGTAGAAAGATGGCCTGTGTCATTGTTAAGAAAATGTTTCCAGCAAATTGTAGATGGGTATAACTAATATAACTCTGCATGTGCAAATATTGTGTGGATACACATGGAAAGTATTCTGGGACACATACCAAATTGTTACAATAAATCCCTTTCAAAAATTAGGAGTGGCTGGGAGGAGAAGGCTTTCACTTCGCACTTTCCATGGTGCCAGGGTAATACCACCTCACAACAGTAAATAGCAAAAATAGCAACCTTAACTCTAGATTTTCTTATCTAAATTTTAATTCTGTGAAGAATTTTCCATTTCCCTTTTTCAAATCAGGATATAGGATGCAATTTAGAAAGAGTGAGATCACTTGTTAGACTGTACGATTTTTAAGCATCAATAAAGTATACCACCGAACTTCTCTACCAATCCATTCTCTAAACTTCCCAATCAGGTGTGCCTCTCCATTTAGGACACAGGCAGGTTTTTGTTCCAACTCACAGTGTAACTGCCCTGGTTTCAGTATCCACGGTGAATGAGAACAGCTAAGAGACACAAGTGCTGGGAATTAAAGAAGCATCTACTTAAAAACCAAGCTCTTGCTAATCAGTGAGAAGAGTCTCAAGAGATGATATGCTGAAGGCACCGAGGGAGAGCTGTGTTGGAATGTCTGTCTGTGCATAACTGTGGTCCTTCAAAACGAGCAATTAGAAAACAGAGATGAGATAATATAGCTAGCTCTCGCAGATTAATCAAATGTGTCTTGTTACTAGATTAGAGAATTCAAAGATATGACAGAGAATATTAAATGTCTGAAAATGACCAAGTGTAGCTGCTTGAATCATTTCCCCCACAGTTTTCAGTAGAAAAGAGTTGTTCTTTCCCATTTTCCAAAATCATTACTATTTTAGCATTGTCAAGGAAAAAAAAAGGACTTATGTTTTGTACTTTTCACAGTGTAGAGGATGATGCTCAGAATAAATTGTTTCACTTTGGGAGTTATATTTACTAGAAGAATGAAGCTCTTGCTTTCCACTTTAAGACAAAGAGAGGGACATACAACAAAAAAGACGGCACGTTCAGGGGCTACAGGGGCGTGAGTTCAAATCCTGGATTTCCAATTTCCAGCTATGTATCTTTGGTGAGTCATTTAACCTCAGAACCCACTTCACAGGACTATTACAAAACTGTGTGTGTGTGTGTGTGTGTGTGTGTGTGTGTGTGTTACTGAAAAATATCACCCAGTACTTAGTACACACCTAGTAGTTGTTAGCTACTATTTCAGAGAGACTTCTGTGGATGGCATATACTGATGATTTGGTTAAAAAAATAAAGAATAAAGACAGTTAATTCTTTCAAAATTATTATATGACTATCACTGTTAGGTGGGAGGGGATAAAATGAGGAACTACAGAGATCACTGAATTTACAGCAAATGTCCTGGCCAGGTAACCTAGAGGTCAAATTGAGATGAAAATCAGGTTGCTTCTATCATAGTCCAATATTTTTTCATACTCCATCAGATTCTGCTTTCTGCAATATAATATGGAAGCGAGAAAACAAGAAATATTCCAGGATACAGTCACAGATGTACTATATAGCTTACATTTTATCTTTTTCCCAAAAAAGAGGAACCTCATTCTGCCTGAACAACAAAAGGTTAAAGATGTATTGGTGGACAGCATCTAGGAAGAGAGATACAGGAAGTGGACAGCATCTAGGAAGGAGATACAGGAAGTGGACAGCATCTAGGAAGGGAGATACAGGAAGTGGACAGCATCTAGGAAGGAGATACAGGAAGTGGACAGCATCTAGGAAGAGAGATACAGCAAGTGGACAGCATCTAGGAAGGGAGATACAGCAAGTGGACAGCATCTAGGAAGACAGATACAGCAAGTGGACAGCATCTAGGAAGGGAGATCCAGGAAGTGGACAGCATCTAGGAAGGAGATACAGGAAGTGGGCAGCATCTAGGAAGAGAGATACAGCAAGTGGACAGCATCTAGGAAGGGAGATACAGCAAGTGGACAGCATCTAGGAAGGCAGATACAGCAAGTGGACAGCATCTAGGAAGGGAGATACAGCAAGTGGACAGCATCTAGGAAGGGAGATACAGGAAGTGGACAGCATCTAGGAAGGAGATACAGGAAGTGGACAGCATCTAGGAAGACAGATACAGCAAGTGGACAGCATCTAGGAAGGGAGATACAGCAAGTGGACAGCATCTAGGAAGGGAGATACAGCAAGTGGACAGCATCTAGGAAGGGAGATACAGGAAGTGGACAGCATCTAGGAAGGAGATACAGGAAGTGGACAGCATCTAGGAAGAGAGATACAGCAAGTGGACAGCATCTAGGAAGGGAGATACAGCAAGTGGACAGCATCTAGGAAGACAGATACAGCAAGTGGACAGCATCTAGGAAGAGAGATACAGCAAGTGGACAGCATCTAGGAAGGGAGATACAGGAAGTGGACAGCATCTAGGAAGGAGATACAGGAAGTGGACAGCATCTAGGAAGGGAGATACAGCAAGTGGACAGCATCTAGGAAGGAGATACAGGAAGTAGACAGCATCTAGGAAGACAGATACAGCAAGTGAACAGCATCTAGGAAGGGAGATACAGCAAGTGGACAGCATCTAGGAAGGGAGATACAGCAAGTGGACAGCATCTAGGAAGGGAGATACAGCAAGTGGACAGCATCTAGGAAGGAAGATACAGCAAATCTAATTCAGAAGAAAAGAAACAGATTGCCCTGAATATGACAGTGGCCATCAGAAAGGGAGCTGTACCCTCCACCCAAATGTGTCCCAAACACAAAGACGTCTCACATCCCTCTAAAAACCGAAAAGAGGTACCAGTACTGTGACGGTCATTTTCTGGAATTCATTAATTGAATCATGAAGAGAATTATGTAAGGTCAAAACACTCATACCTCAGAAAAAGCTGCGTCCTATACACTAGGCTAGCCCACACCAACCACAAAGAAAGCACAGACAGAAATTTCCAGGACTTGGTGTCTTTGCAAAGACAGAGACTCCAGCCATAAGCTTAGCAATGTACCCTCTTGATGAAGGAAGTGAGCATGATCTCTCCCTTTGTCATCTGAGTGATGTATGATTAAGCTCAATAGAGGTATAGATTCAGTGATGTTACTGAGAGGAAGCAACAGAATTTTCAGTGACCTAAGGTGCTATATGTGAGAGTCCCAAGTGTTCTAAAGAAAAACCTGGCCCAGCACAGTGGCTCATGCCTGTAATCCCAGCAATTTGGGAGGCCGAGGCAGGTGGATTACCTGAGGCCAGGAGTTTAAGACCAGCCTGGCCAATATGGTAAAACACTGTCTCTACTAAAAATACAAAAATTAGACACACGTGCTGGTGGGAAGTCCCAGCTACTTGGGAGGCTGAGGCAAGAGAATCGCTTGAACCCAGGAGGTAGGTTGCAGTGAAGGCAGAGATTGCAGTGAGCCAAGATCGTGCCACTGCACTCCAGCCCATGTGACAGAGTGAGTGAGACTTCATCCCCCACCCGCCAAAAAAAAGAAAAGAAAATGAAAACCCATACCAGAAAAAAAGTTTCTCTTTCTTCAAAAACAGTCCTTCTTTTGACCTTCCCTAGGTCTTGCAGAAGAGAGCATAAAGAAGTCTTAGATCAAATACTCATTTATATCAGTGACTTCTAAGTAATTACCTGCATCTATAGGATATACAGAGTTTAATCACATACCCTTGAAAGACGCACTCCACTAAACAAAATTATAAGTACACCTCATTGCGTGTACTGAGCTTCACTCTGCTGTGCTTCATGGATCTTGTGTTTACTAGATAGAAGGTTTGTGAATCCTTTGTTGAACAAGTCTATTAGCACCATTTGTCCAATAGCATGTGTGCACTTCATGTGTCTGTTGTCACATTTTGGTAATTCTCACAATAATTCAAACTTTTTCACTGTTCTATCTGTGATGCTTATCAGTGTTCTTTGACATTACTACTGTAATTGTTTTGGGGCACCATGAACAGTGCCCATATGAGACAGTTAACTTAATCCATGAATGTGTGCATTCTGACAGCTTCACCAACTTCATTCCTGTCTCTCTCCCTCTCCTCAGGCCTCCATATCCCTGAGACACAATAATACTGAAATTAGCCCAGTTAGTAACCTTACAATGGCCTCTAAGTGTTCACGTGAAAGGAGGAGTTGCACATCTCTCGCTGTGATTCAAGAGCTAGAAATGATGAAGCTCAGTGAGGAAGACATGTCGAGAACTAAGATAAACTGAAAGACACATGTGTTGCACAAAACAGTTAGCCAACTTGTAAATGCAAAAGAAACACTCTTGAGGGAAATTAAAAGTGCTACTCCAGTGAACACACAAATAATCAGAAAGTGAGACAGCCTTATTGCTGATAGGGAGAAAGTCTGAGTGATCTGGACAGAAGATCAAATAAGCCACAATATTCCCTTAAGCCAAAGCCTAATCCAGAGGAAAGCCCTAACTTGCTTAAATTCTATAAAGGCTGAGAGAGGTGAGAAACGACAGAAGAAACGGTGGAAAGTAGCAGAGGTTGGTTCATGAGGTTTAAGGAAAGAAGCCATCTCCGTAACTTAAAACTGCAAGGTGACGTTGCAGCAAGTTATCAAGAAGATCTAGCTGAGATGACTGATGAGGGTGGCAACAAGGAAAAGCAGACTTTCAGTGTAGATGAAACCGCCTTATATTGGGATGAGATACCATCTAAGACTTCCATAACTAGAGGAGAGGTCAATGCTTTGCTTCAAAACTTCAAAAGACAGAATGACTCTCTTGTTAGGGTCTAATGCCAGCTGGTGACTTTAAGTTGAAGCAAATGTTCATTTACCATTTAAAAAATCCTACAGCCCTTAAGAACTGTGGTAAATCTGTACTGCCCATGTTCTACCAATGTAATAACAAAGCCTGGGTGACAGCATATCTGTTTTTAAGCATAGTTTACTGAATATCTGAAGTCCATTCTTGTGACCTACTGCTCAGGAATAAGATTGCTTTGAAAACATTACTGTTGATTGACAACGCACCTAGTCATCCAAGAGCTCCGATGGAGATGTACAAGAAGACGAATGCTGTTTTCTTGCCTACTAACACAAAATCTAGTCTTCAGCCCATGGATCAAGGAGTAATTCAACTTTCAAGTCTTATTATTTAAGAAATACATTTTGTAAGGCTATAGCTGCCATCAATATTGATTCTTCTGATGGATCTGGGGACAGTAAATTGAAAACCTTCTGGAAAGGATTCACTATTCCAGACACCATTAGGAACACTCATACTTCATAGAAGGAGATCAAAATATCAACATTAACAAGAGTTTGGAAGGTTGATTCCAATCCTCATGGATGACTTTGAGGGGGTCAAATCTTCAGTGAAGAAAGTAATCAGAAATGAAAAACAAGGCATTACAACTGATACCACAGAAATACAAAGGATCATTAGAGACTGTTACGAACAACAATCTTGACAATGCTGACAAACTGAAAAACCTAAAGGAAATAAATCCTAGACATACACAACCTACCAAAATTGAATTAGGAAGAAGGAGAAAACCTGAAAAAATCAATAATGAGTAGTGGAAGTCCTAGTCAGAGCAACCAGGCAAGAGAAAGAAACAAAGGGCATCCAAATTGGAAAAAAGGAAGTCAAATTGTCCCTCTTTGTGAATGACATAATCCTATATACAGAAAAATCTAAAGACTCCACCAAAAAACTCTTTGAACTGATAAATGAATTCAGTAAAGTTGCAAGATACAAAATCAATATACAAAACTATACATCAATAACGAAGTAGTGAAAAAAGAAATTAGAAAAGCAATTCCACTTACAACAGCTACAAAAACATAAATAAAGTATCTAACAATAAATTTATTGAAGGAGGAGAGAGAACTCTAGAAGGACAACTATGAAACACTGATGGTAGAAACTGAAGAGAATACAAACAAATGGAGATGTCCCATGCTTATAAATTGGAAGAATTAATATTGTTAAGATGACCATGCTACCCAAAGCAATCTACAGATGTAATGTAATACCTGTCAAAATACCAAACCACATGTTTCACAGAAATATTTTTTTAAATCCTAAAATTTGTATGGAAACACAAAAGACCATGAATAGCCAAAGCAATAATGAGCAAAAATAACAAAACAGGAAGTATCACACTACCTGACTTCAAAATATGCTACAAAGCTATAGGAACCAAAACCATATGGTACTGGTATAAAAACAAACACACAAACCATTAGCATAGAATAGAGAACCTAGAGATAAATTCACATATTTACAGCCAACCAATTGTAAAATGTGTCAAGAAAACAGACTGAGGAAAAGACACCCTGTTCAATAAATGGTGTTGGGAAGATTCCATATCCAAAGCAGAAGAGTGAAAGGAGACCATTATCACTGTATACAAAAGTAAACTCAAAATGAATTAAAGATTTGAACATAGGACCCAAAACTATAAAACTACTAGAAGAAAACACTTCAGGACATTGGTCTAGGCAAATATTTTATGGCTAAGACCTCAAAAGTACAGCCAACAAAAATAGACAAATGGCACTATATTAAACTAAAAGGTTTCTGTACAGCAAAGAAAACAATCAAGAGACTGAAGAGACAATCTGTAGCAATAAATATTTGCAAATTACATGTTCAGCAAGGAATTAATATCCAAAATATAATCCAGTTAAAAAGTGGGCAAATGATATGAATAGAAATGTCTCAAAAGAAAATATGCAGGCCAGGCACGGTGGCTCATGCCTGTAATCCCAGCACCTTGGGAGACAGAGGCGGGCAGATCACCTGAGGTCAGGAGTTCAGACCAGCCTGGCCAAAATGGTGAAACCCCATCTCTACTAAAAATACAAAAAATTAGCCAGGCGTGGTGACACACGCCTGTAATCCCAGCTACCCAGGAGGCTGAAGCAGGAGAATTGCTTGAGCCCGGGAGACAGAGGTTGCAGTGAGCCAAGATCCTACCACTGCACTCCAGCCTGGCTGACAGAGTGAGACTCTGTCTCAGAAAAAAAAAAAAAAAAAGAAAGAAAAAGAAAAAGAAAATATGCAAATGGCCAGCAAATATATGAAAAAATGTTCAACATCACTAATCACCAGGGAAATACGAATCAAAACCACAATGAAATATCATCTTACCACAGTTAGGATGGCTGTTATCAAAAAAAGAAAAGATAACATGCTGGTGAAAATGCAGAGAAAAGGGAACTCACACACTGTTGGTGGGAATGCAAATAGGTACAGCCACTGTAGAAAAGAGCACAGCATTTCCACAAAAAAACTAAAAGAGAACTACCATAGGATCCAGCAATCCCAGCACTGGGTTTCCTTTCTTTCTTTCTTTTTTTTTTTTTTTTTTACAAAAGAAAGGAAATCAAAGGGATACGCACACCCCCAATGCGTATTGCAGCACTATTCACAATAGCTAAGATACTGAATCAACCTAAATATCCATCAGTGGATATTTAACTCCATAAAAGACATACAAGTAACACCACTCTACTTTCACGCATGAAGCATTAATGGATAAAGAAAACATAGATACAGACATGATGGAGTACTATTCAGCCATAGAAAAGAATGGAATCCTGTCATTTGCAGCAACAGGAATGAGCCCGAAGGACATTATGTTAAGTGAAATATGTCAAGCACAGAAAAACAGATATCACATATTCTGGCTCTTATGTGGGAGCAAAAAAGATGTTGTTTTGTGCTCATCAAAGTAGAACTTGTGGGTATTGGAGGCTGGGAAATGGAAGAATGGGAGGGAGGTTGTTTGATGGATACAAAATTACAGTTACATAGAGAGGATGGAGTTTGCGTGTTCTGCAGCATTGTACGCTGAATATGCTCAACTGTATTATATTTTTCAAAAAGTTAGAGGAGAGTATTTTTTAATGTTCACAACACAAATAAATATTTGAGGTGATGGTATAGTGATCACTCTGATTTGATCATTACATATTATATACACATATGAAAATATCACTCTGTATCCCATAAATGTGTACAATTATTATGTGTCAACTAAAAAGGAAAAAAGGAGTTGCACCATCGCCACACCTGTCACATAGATCATAAATACAAACCCGCACACAAATTACGTTATTTACTATGTATCATTGATGTCAGAGCCCTAAAAAGCCTTATTAAGCCTCTTGACTACAGTTTTCAAACTTTTTTTTGCAGTGGAACGCTTACATCAAACAATGTTACGTAAATCCCAAAATAGAATCCCCCAGTAACAGTGATCTCATGAAATCAAGGCAAGGCATGTGGACGTGTTTAGTGGGGGTGCACAAGCATGCCTGTGCTTGTAGGGAGAGGACAGGGCTGCTTCCCCAAAACACTGTTTGAAAAAATCACTGATGTATTACAAGCTTCTTATTCCCAGACAAACTTAGTATGGAATCACCTGCCAGGTAAGGAACTTGCTTATACATAAAGTGAGGGCTATAGACTAGACCTTTTATCTGTATGTTTCTAGCAATGTTTTATGACACTATTATACAGGGTTTTCATAGGAAATCACATAAAGAAAGGACCATTGATACGATAATCATTATAATAAATCATACTAAATGATCTTGGTAGCAAACTAGTTGTCAAGCAAAGAAGGATTATGGGTTTATTCAGACCAACTTCTGGAATCTTATTTAGGTATTAAATATATATTAAATATCAAGGTCAGAAACCAAATGAAGTATTAACTGGCAAAATCCATTATTACAATAGAAATAACATTGATCCCTGGAAATAAAAATTATTTCAGATTAAAAAGAAGTTATGGGGCCAGGCGCAGTGGCTCACGGCTATAATCCCAGCACTCTGGGAGGCCGAGGCAGGCAGATCACGAAGTCAGGAGATCAAAACCATCCTGGCTAACGTGGTGAAACCCCATCTCTACTAAAAATATAAAAAATTAGCCAGGCGTGGTGGCGGGCGCCTGTAGTCCCAGCTACTCGGGAGGCTGAGGCAGGAGAATCGCTTGAACCAGGGAGGCGGAGGATGCAGTGAGCAGAGATCGCGCCACTGCACTCCAGCCTGGGCGACAGAGCGAGACTTTGTCTCGAAAAAAAAAAAAAAAGTTAGTGAAGAAGCTGATTTCAAAGGGTTTTACTGCTATGAAGATAAAATTAGGTTGGTTTCATTCTAGCTTTATTGTAGTCTGCAGAGACTAAATTGAAATCAGCCATTTTAATTCAGAAACAATATTTAGGCTGTAGAAAGCAGAGTGATAACCACCCTGCCTTTGTTTAAAATCTCTGAGACAGAAGGGATATTTCCTGTAGCAGCATAAATTACAGAGACTCTAAAGTTACGTTGAAACGACCCTTACACCCTCGAAGCAACGTGCAATTTTGTGGCTGTAATTTTCTCAAACTGCTTAATAAAACCTTCTCCTTTTTATCAGAAAAAAAGAATAAACAAAATACCAAGAACTCCATAAAAGGCATACAAGGAACATTACTCCACTTTCAGCCATGAAGTATTAATAATTAACTGTTGGGCAGGCAAACTGAGTTAGCAGTCTTTTCCCACAGGACATCTTCCTGTCAAAATGTCACCCAGAAATAACCCTGTAGATTACAGGAAGGGGCTGCAATTCCCCACAGTGCATCTCATAACCATAAATGGCCTCAGAGTTTCAGTACCTGTCATGATCAGGTCACCTAACACCTGGGAATCTCTCACTCTCCCCCTCCTCTACCCACATATTTGCCGCTAACACACCAATAATTGATAGTATCTGCATTTCTGAGCATTACCAGCCATGAGCTGCCTGCCCTAGCACTGAAGGAGAGACAGATGGCAGCCAGACAGAACGGGATGGAGAGCTCATATCCGAGTCCTGGCTCTGCCCTTGATTCACTGAGCAACAACCTCTCACCAAAGATGGGATCATAAAGCTCCATTCCCTCGCATTCAAATGCTAGGAAT